>NC_000001.11:60159895-60462925 GCF_000001405.40 Homo sapiens
GTCTTTTTTCATAATAATCTCTATGCCTGGAATTTGAGACTCACCATTCCTGGCTGATCTGTCTTCTTTACCTTTTAAGATGTAGGTCAGCAACCATCTTGGCTGCATTAAGTGTTCCTTCTCCATGACCCCAGAGAAAGCTCTTTATCACTATCTTAATATTGCTCAATTTATTTTGAAAGTTACCATTTATGTGCCATCTTTTCCCAATAACTTATAGGGTCCTTAAGAGCAGATACTGTGTCTTCATTCTTCTTTGTGTACCTCCTCACATGCACAGTACTTATCTTATAATAAATACATGTATATTAAAATTCCCGTAGTAGTGGCTCAGAGTCTCTCTTTTATACTGAATTGAACTGAACTGAACTGCAGCCAGTTCTCCATAACTTCAAAACCCCAAACACTTATCATTATACCACACTGCATTCCATTCCAGCCATAAAAGTTCTATTACATTTTGGCCCAAATAACCAATGGACCTATTTTTGGTCCCATGGTAGCTGGGAATTCTGTGGAGAATTGCAGCAAACAAATTTGGGAGGAGAATGGACACCTAAACTCAAACTTATATTACAGCAAAGACGGCATTAGCAATCTATACATAAATCCCTTAGTACAGGGCCAGGAACAAAGGAATCTCTCAGTAAACATTAGCTATTATACAAGCTGTTAGAATTTCAGAGAATGAGTTCACTCATTGTCAGTAATACTTTTGTTTTCATAATGCCTTGAGTTAAAGATGAGATTCCAGCATTTTTGTAATTGAGTACTTTTGCTGGGTAGATCCAACCTGAAAATTAAGATTCCAGTATAGAGCAGGTGTAGGTAAGTCAGAAGCCACTGGCAAGGCATTCTGGCAGAACAGGTTTGTTTCTCTCAGAGTGAGCTATCTACCCACAATGGACACTATTATCTACAATGGGGGTGTCATCAGGACTCAGACAGAAGAGCTCTGCCTGGAAGCCAAATCTCCCTCCCTTGGCCAGGTGCGATGGCTTACACTTGTAATTCCAGCTCTTTGGGAGGCCGAGGCTGGCGGATCACGAAGTCAGGAGATCGAGACCATCATGGTTAACATGATGAAACCCTGTCTCTACTAAAAATACAAAAAATTTGCCAGGTGTGGTGGCATGCAACTGTAGTCCCAGCTACTTGGGAGGCTGAGGCAGGAGAATCACTTGAACCCAGGAGGTGGAGGTTGCAGTGAGCCGAGATTGCACCACTGCACTCCAGCCTCGGTAACAGAGCGAGACTCCGTCTCAAAAAAAAAAAAAAAATCTCCCTTCCTTCCCCACTGCCACTCACATTTAGCACCACCTACCCATTTAACAAGGCTCTGAAGCTTAAGTGTGCCTGTATTTTTTGAAATTTTGTCATTTTAATTCTTTAAGAAGAGATTTATAGGGTTTTACTGTTTGTGTTACTACCTGTTACTTTCTCTTTCTCTCCTAGTGAAGTTTTCGAGGCATCTCTTCTTTCCCCGTCTCCTCGCTCCCCATATCTGACACTAAACCCTGAAGGTTATTATTTATAAATAGCCCCCATTTTCAGTCTCTGGTCTATTCACAACCTCATATGCTCTGAAACATTTGAATAGGCTCTTGACTTGTCTTCCTATCCCTGGTCTCTATCGGGGAACCTGCCCCCGATAGTCATGTAGGTTCTTTTCTATTTTCCCTAAGCATCAGCTGGGTTGATAAATAAAGGGACAGAGTACAAAAGAGAGAAATTTTAAAGCTGGGTGTCCGGGGGAGACATCACATGTCAGTAGGTTCCATGATGCCCCCTGAGCCATAAAACCAGCAAGTTTTTATTAGGGATTTCAAAAGGGGAGGGAGTGTACAAATAGGGTGTGGGTCACAGAGATCACATACTTCACAAGGTAATAGAATATCACAAGGCAAATGGAGGCAGGGTGAGATCACAGGACCACAGGACCGGGGCGAAATTAAAATTGCTAATGAAGTTTTGGGCACCATTGTCATTGATAACATCTTATCAGGAGACAGGGTTTGAGAGCAACTGGTCTGACCAAAATTTATTAGGCAGCAATTTCCTCATCCTAAGAAGCCTGGGAGTGCTATGGGAGACTTATTTCATCCCTACAGTCTCAACCATAGAATATGGCCACACCGTAGCGGGGCATTTTAGAGGCCCACCCTCAGGGGTGCATTCTCTTTCTCAGGGATGTTCCTTGCTGACAAAAAGAATTCAGCGATATTTCTCCCATTTGCTTTTGAAAGAAGAGAAATATGGCTCTGTTCTGCCTGGCTCACCGGCGGTCAGAGTTTAAGGTTATCTCTCTTGTTCCCTGAACATTGCTGTTATCCTGTTCTTTTTTCAAGGTGCCCAGATTTCATATTGTTCAAATACACATGCTCTACAATTTGTGCAGTTAACACAATCATCACAGGGTCCTGAGGTGATATACATCCTCCTCAGCTTACAAAATGACAGGATTAAGAGATTAAAGTAAAGACAGGCATAGGAAATCACAAGGGTATTGATTGGGGAAGTGATAAGTGTCCATGAAATCTTCACAATTTATGTTTAGAGATTGCAGTAAAGACAGGCATAAGAAATTATAAAAGTATTAATTTGGGGAACTAATAAATGTCCATGAAATTTTCACAATCCACGTTCTTCTGCCATGGCTTCAGCCGATCCCTCCATTTGGGGTCCCTGACTTCCCACAACAGGTATCATTAAAATAAATTGTCCCAGTTCCATGTCTCAAGATCTCCCATAAATCCCAGGAAAAATTAGAACTACTCAACCGACAAGGAAAATTCTTTATAATCTATTCCAGCCACTTCTATGGCCATATCTCATCATTTGCCTCTCCCTGTCCAGGTACACAGGTGCACACTGAACCTTTTACCATTCTCCATTCTGTGTCTCTGTATATTCTCACTGTCAGTAATTCTCTACTTTCCCATGTGTTTGGCAATTCCTATTCATCCTTCAAAACTTGACTCAGACATTTCCCGCTCTGGAAGCTGCTCTTTCTCCTCAAAAGCCATGCATGTAGCTATGCCTCTGGGCTTCCACTGCACTTTTCCAGGCTTCTGTTGTGTTGGTGCACATCGTTGCTCTTCTTTCTTTAACTAGAAGGAGAGCTGTGGCAATGTCTGATGATCCTTTATGAAAGGAATGAAAAGGTCAAAATGCTATTTGCCATGGGGCACTCTATCCTTCCCTGTGGCTAGTCTATAAATCTTAGCCTCGGTATACCTTTTGCTAGGTAATCATTAAGACTGAGAGGGCCACATTGGACCAGATGGGTAGGATGAGACAATGAATAAAGGGTTACTAGTTACTTGTGACTAATTTCAAGCTCAATATTACCATTCTCCTCTGTTTCCTTTTTTTTTTTTTTTGAGACAGAGTCTTGCTCTGTGGCCCAGGCTAGAATGCAGTGGCACAATCTTGGCTCACTGCAAGCTCTGCCTCCCGGGTTCACACCATTCTCCTGCCTCAGCCTCCTGAGTAGCTGGGACTACAGGCACCTGCCATCACTCCTGGCTATTTCTTTTTTGTAGTATTAGTAGAGACAGGGTTTCACCATGCTAGCCAGGATGTTCTCAATCTCCTGCCTCGGCCTCCCAAAGTGCTGGGATTATAGGCGTGAGCCACTGAGCCTGGCCTTCTTTTTTTTTTAATTTAATTAATTAATTTATTGTTTTTTGAGACAGGATCTTGCTCTGTCGCCCAGGTTGGAGTGCAGTGGTGAGATCTTGGCTCACTACAACCTCCACTTCCCAGGCTCAAGCAATCCTCGTGCCTCAGTCTCCCAAGTAGCTGCAATTACAGGTGTGTGCCACCACACCCAGCTAATTTGTGTATTTTTAGTAGAGATGGGGTTTTGCCATGTTGGCCAGGCTGGTCATGAACTCCTGGTCTCAAGTAATCCACCCACCTTGGCCTCCCAAAGTGCTGGGATTATAGGTGGGAGCCCCTGCGCCCAGCCTGAAGTACACTTCTGATCCACTTATTTCACATGGGGTCTATTCCAGCTCCCCAGAGTAGACAGGGATTCAGACAAAAACCCTGGCAAGGAATAACCAGGGCACATGCGGTTGGTGTCTTTTATATTTTCTCAGGGAACTTCAGTAACTAGCAGGGATTTGTGGGATGCTGGCTCTATCACAATCACACATCATAACACCCAGCATATTGAATGGTATTTGTTTCTGTGTCTTTCTTTCCTGTTAGACTGTGAGCTCTTGTTCTAGTCCTGTGCTGAGCCTTGTAGCAAAACAGAGCAGAGTGAACTTGGCGGCTAACTGTGTGGACTTTGGAGAGAGTCAGCTTATATTCAAATCTCATTTGTGCCACGCAAGAAGGTATGACCTCAGGCAAGTTATATTAGATTTCTGTGCCTTGGTTCTTCATGTATACATACAGTGAGAATGACAATAGCACCTTTCCTACATTGTCGTTAAGATGATCCAATGAGTATAGAAAATTTGTGCTTGTTACATAGCCGACATTGAGTAAATTCTACTTTTAACCATTTTTATTCATCCAGGGCTTAATATTTTATCACGATACAGTAGGCACTTAATAAGTATAAACAAATAATTAAGCATTAGATGGCAAGTTTTTCATGGCACTGTGTAAATTAGCTTGAAACAGAGTGGTGTTGTATAAAGAGCATGGGTTGAGAGCCTGAATGATGAGTTTGAATTATAGCTCTGCCACCTCCTACTAACATTAACATGGACAAGTCATTTAATCTGTCTCAGCCTCAATAATATGGTATTTCATCCCGGAAGTAGGTGTTAATAGTATCATCTATTTTCAGGTATTTTGGGCACCATTTAGCAAAATCTGTTAATTGCAATATACTTTGAAAAATGCCCAGTTGATCTAGTTAATACATCTGAATTTTGAGAATTAAAACAAGCAGTTATTTTAATTTAAACCATATCTAGAAATGTTAACAATCCCAAGTAGAGGTTATTCCAGGATCTGTTTTGGTGAGAGGGTGAAACAATTAAGGCTAATTGGGTCTGAGGGTGGGAGCAAGCAGTGGTTAGGTAAGATTCATTAAGCATTAATTTTATGCCAAGGTTTTTCCTTAGCTGTCATCCTAAGAACCACACTGTTAGCCACAATTAAGTCCATTTATAGATTAGGAAACTTGCAAAAAATCACAGACCTGAAGAATAGCAGTTCCAGATTTCAAAACCAGATTTGTGCTCTTACTGGGATACTACACCGCTTTATGAAGCAGTAGCAGTGATTCTCACATAGGGCCCGACACATAGTTGGGACTCAATGAATATTTGTGATGTGATGGATGGATGAACACTAACAAAATTCTCAGCAAGGTTAAATGTTTTAAAAAGTCACAAGAAGTCCAAAGAGCTCTAAGGAGCTTAGGGAGACAGAAAGTGTTTCATCCTCCATGTCAACTACTCAGTGACTGAAAGGAGAATGATACCAATTTCAACAAGTGCTGACTGAACCCACAGACATCTGTGAGAAAAGGAACACACGTTTCAAATGCCTCCCCTCCAGCTCCGTTTGCCGAGTTGACAAGTTAATTACTCAGCTATCAGGAGATAACTTGGTAGTAGTAACACATGTAACTGTGTAATTATCAGGGGTTCCAGTAGTCGCTGTGTAATTATCAAGTAGTTTTCATGAAACAACATGTGTTTGCTTGTAAATATACAATTAAGCGGTGTTGCCACCATTAACTATGAAACAAAACCAGCATCTGGCACTTAAGGTACCAGCTGTGGGTCCCTGCAATTAAACTTTTCTTCAAATAGGACTAACTTTCCAAAAGGCACAACGTCACAAAAACCTACAGAAACACATGTGATACCATTGATAATTCTATTCTTTTGCCTAAAATAACACTTTCTATTTTTCCTATCATACTTTAAAAATTTTGTCTATTCTTTAAGGTCAAGCTCATATGCCAGCCTTTTCCTTGTATTTTGTAGATTCCTTTAAACAAGATGTAAATTCTGGATCCCTAAACTCTCCAAATCTCTTTGCAACTCTTATGACTTTGAACACATTCTACCTTGCTGGGAATCTGGGGCATATCTACCCATCAGTCGTGCCACAAATATATATTGAGCCCCTATTATGTGTCAGGTCCTATGCTAGGCAATGGGAACACAGTCAGCAACAGAATAGATATGGTCTTTGCAACCACAAACTTTACAATATAGGAGTAAAAATATGTATATACAAATAATTACAGATTTGATAGACCTTTTAAAAGAAGAAGCAAAAGTCTAGCATTATGAGTGTTAATTCTCTTATTAGTCTAAGTTACTGAAGGTGATACTCCAAGTCTTATTTCTTCATTCACCCAGTAATTATTTATTTCACATGTACTTTGTGATATTGCTGTGTTTTGTGCTAAGGATTTCACAATAAACAAGATAGACATCATCCCTGTTTGCAGAAATCCTCAAGGTGTCTACTTCAGAGCCTGACACTCACCAAGTACTCAGTGCCTATTTGTTCTTGCCAATGACATCAGCTAACACCCTGATATACATTTATCAATATATTTATCTTTATGTTGTCCAGGAGACTCTAGTGATGTATATTACCACAATCCCTTTGATGTTCATTCCAGCAGTATTTAGAATGCAGAAGAATGGGAAACAAATTTGGTCCCCAACCACAGACTAGAATCTTGATAATTTCATTCCATTAAAACTTCTCTGAGATATGTTTGATTTATAGTTGAATCACACACATGAATATTAATTACATTGTCTCTCAAATTGTTCTATAATCCCTGCATCTATACCAGGTCTGTCTTCCCAGTCAGTCCCATCTCATCCATATGATGGTACCTCCCTGGAGCAAGTTGACCACTTAATACCTGTCTAGATCTGCCAAACCTCCATTTGGAAATTGATCTCTGGCTGCTGGTTCCTCTTATTGCTACTGAACTATTATCCAGGTGGCAGATAATCTCTTGTCAGAATTAAAGTAGACAGTCATTGGGTGTTGGGCCTCCACCTAAGCATGAATATGTGAAACTTTCTTATCTCTAAGCCCTGAGGATCTAGCATTCCAATGTTCTTAATTTTGCATGGATGAAACCACCATCCATCTAGTCAGACAAGCCAGAAGTCTTGATACCTCTGCACACCCCTCCCCCAGAGAATCCATCAACAATTCTCAGTGATATTATCTCCTTAAATTTATCCATTCTGTCTAATTCTCTTTACCACTACCTGACTCTGCTCTATCACCGTTTCATTTCTAGATTACTTTTTAAGTGGGTTAGCCTACCTCCATCCAAGCATCTATTTGTTCTCTATACTGTGTCTGGAAAAAGCTTTAAAATGCAAATCCAAGTGTGTTGATCCCTTGCTCAGAACTGTTCAGTGGCCTTCCATTGCTTTGGATAAAAGTCATGGTCTTAACGTGCGACCTGTCTTCAACTCCTTCTCCAGCCCACCCCATACCAATCTACCTTGTAGACTTGGTTGGCTCTAACCATTCTACATTTCTTTCAGCACCTCCTATTCTCAAGGCTCTGGTCAGCTATAGGAGTTTTGCATTTATTGGAACACTTACCCCAATCTACTCTAAAGCACAATGCTAGGGCCCTCCTTGATAACCTGGGAAGCTTTTCATCAACTCTTTGCAGTTTATCCTTCTGTGGGCTTTCACTCCTCCCACCACTGTCAGTTCCTTTGTGGAGGCCTGTCCTCTGGTTACTGCAGGGACTTTGCTGACAGGAGGTATCTAAGATTTTTAAGGCAGCCTCCCATGGAGGCCTCTAACCAAAGACTCTAAGTCAAAGAATTTGAAAGACCAGCAACCCTGCGGCAAGTCAGGACAACTCTGAGCAAGGCATACGATCCAGAATTTCCCTGAAGGATCTGGCTGAAGCTACTCTCTGCACCACTTTGCCTGAGATCACACTGTTGTTTGCCTCCTTTCCTTCTCTGTTCTCCTCCAGCCCATACCCATCTCTCCATCATAAATCACTAGCGCAGGAATTGGTGTTTCAGGGCCCACCTTTAGGGAACCCTATCTTAGATACCTACACAGGTTGTCATAATTGTTTAGATCTCAGGTTAAAAATCACTTCTTAGGAATTCCTGACTAGTTAAAATCTTTTCTCCACCCCAAATAATGAGAATTTCTCCTTTGTAGCACATTTCAATAAAAATTGTACATGTGTTCGTGAGAACCTTTGACCATAAACCACGTAAGGCAAAGGCCATGTATTTTTTACTTATCATTGTGCTGCCAGTGCTTTGCATAATAGCATGAGAACCATCAATAAAGATTTATTAAATGAATGAACAAAAGTTAATACACTGTAAGTATGATAAACTTGAGTAAGAAGTCAGATGAAAAATTGCATTATTCAAACCATTTTTATGGAGTGTCTTGTACACAGCAGGCACTGAAGTGGTAAATGTAAATACGTTTTCTTATTGTCTTATATATAGTAGGCATTCTATAAATGTTTGTGGAATAAATGAATACATGATGTATGAATTATTTATAAAGTGGAAAGTTACAATCTAGTTGGAGGAAATTAAAACACAGTTTTGGGAAAATTAAAAAAGCAACAACAACTCAAGATTTGATGACTTATACCTCAGAGGTTGTCTAGTTGATCTCAAAGTTACCTCAACAAAGATAAGAGTTTATTCCTTTTGAACTTCAAACAGCTGGACCAGTGTTATTTGAATATATTTAGCTAAAACTAAGGTAGCTGTAAGGAGCTAAGGTTCATTATAGCCTGTTTTCTTTGCCTTCACCCTTCTGAGATTTTCCTTGGCAACAATCACCTTTTAAAACTGCTTAGAATGAAAACAGTGGAGTTGCATAATTTTGCAGTCAGTTTATTTTTAAACGAGATAGGGAGGTCCTCAGTTTGACAAACCTTAGGTTGTGAGATCACATACCCACGTTTTAGGGTATTCTGATTGCTGAAACTTCATAAACTAAAATCAACATCTTAAGCTAGAAGGTGAAGTTGTTTTCCAGTACAGCCTACTTTTGAATTTAAAGGTTGTTACCCCAAACCCTGCCCCTTCCCCCAGAGTTTCAAGAATCAGCTCTTGTCCTGTATCAATAACAATATTAAAGAGTGAATTCCCCTCTTAAAGGTTCCATTTCCAAGGAATGTTGGTTGGTTTTTAGATGAAAGGATTAACACTTTTACTGTACTGATATCAACCAGACTTAACTGAAGGTGTTGAGGATAAATTTGAAGACAACTCTTGTTAAAACTCTTATTTTGGAATATCATATATTATACTAAGAAAACAGACCATTTGTGCAGCTGAATAATTAGCAATTGCTTTGATTTATGCTTAATTTTGAATTTATTGATATGACATATTAGGTTTGACATTGTATACTTCATTCATAATATCAACAAAAAATTATTGAGCATGTACCAAGTGCAGTGCATCATTGTGTTATCTTAGACATAAAAACAGAAAAACCTCAAAGAATTTCATAAACCACATACGTGGATCATTTCCACTGTGCTTCAGTTTTTAGCCACCTCGTCACTGACTCAGCTGGCCCCAACCAAAAGAAGCATGGCAGCATTTTTTATTTCTCTGGGAGTTGTGTACAGATTTCTGTGAAGTACCATAACATAATGACTGAGAGAATAAACTCTGGAGTTAGAATACCTGGGTTCAAATCACCTCTCCACTATTCATTACCTGAGTTCCAAGGCAAATTGCTTAACCTCCATTTATTTGTGTGTCCTTGGGAAAGTCATACCTTTGTCCTTCTTCTGAAAGCTGATGATAACAATAGTAACCACCTCAAAGTCTTTTTTGTAAGGATTAAGTTAACATATGTAAACTACTTAACTATGTAAAATATCATTAAGTTTAAATATTTTTTTTTTTTTTTGAGATGGAGTTTTGCTCTTGTTACCCAGGCTGGAGTGCAATGGTGTGATCTCGGCTCACCGAAACCTCCACCTCCTGGGTTCAAGCGATTCTCCTGCCTCAGCCTCCCTAGTAGCTGGGATTACAGGCATGCACCACTATGTCTGGCTAATTTTGTATTTTTTTTAGTAGAGACGTGGTTTCTCCATGTTGGTCAGGCTGGTATTGAACTTCCAACCTCAGGTGATCCACCTGTCTTGGCCTCCCAAAGTGCTGGGATTACAGGCGTGAGTCACCACGCCCAGCCTAGTTTAAAGATATTTTATTAGCTCACATTTTCACTGACATTTGTGTAACTATGGAGAAATTTTTTAATGTCTTTGAGTTTTACTTTCCTTATCTGGAAAATGGGCAATTGCAAAGTCTCCCCACAGTGTTTTATGAAGACTGAATGAGATAATCTCAGAGAAAATTGCCTTGCTAACCACAAAGCACATGATTTTGCACATATTAAACATTAAAAATACGTATTATATGAATGATTAAAGCAGTTGAGTGAAGGAACAATTAATTTATGTGTGACCTCCATGTCATATTCACTGATTTATTCCACAAAAGTTATCTTCTAGGTGCTAGGTACTATATTTAATCCTAGGGGATGCTGGGATGAACAAAACAGTCTCTCGTTGAGATTTGCAATCTGATGTAAAAGACAGACATTAGTCAAATAAGCAGTCAATCTATTATATTGTGACTTGTGCTACAAACCCTATAAAAGTGAGAAGTGTCACTATCAGATTCATTAGGTACCTTTCTCTTACTTCACTGATAAAGAAAGTTAGGGCCAGAGAGTTGGAACTGGGCCAAAGACAAAGCATTAAGTTTTTACATTGACCTCCATGTTAGATGAAATTCACTGAAGACAACTCATTGTCTCTTACAGGATAGAGTTAAATTCTCTTTTTCAGGTTAAGTGGAGAGTTTAGTAATAAATAAAAGGATGGGAAAAAATAGCCTCAAGTAGAAATAACCATGGTTCTCAATTGCTGATCACCTTCCACATACCAAGCACTTTATTTCCATCATTTTATTCATTCCTCAAAACAATCCATAAATAAGTGTTATTGCAAACTAAAGCTCTAGAGGGACTTTGAGCAACTTGCTTTGAGATCACATGGCCAGAAAGTAAAGCAAGTGCTGTCTGCTTGATAATAAAATTCCTACTTTTTCTAACACAACAAGATATTCCTAACTGGGCACAATTTGAGTTCAAATCTTAGCCTTAGAACATTCCATCTTGTAGATCTTTAGGTTTCAGGATCAGCTTCTGAATTTCTGGCTGATGACCATGTATATTTAAATATATATCTGATTGCTTTCTCCCTTTGCACATTACTTACTTTCATTCCCTCATGTGAAACACATGCTTGACAGTGTGGGATAAAGGGGGGAAAAAAAAACAGAAGGGGAAGAAAGATTAGGATATCAGAGTGCATCACAGAGAATTGGTATGTGAATTCAAGAACTTTTCTGTGTTCTAAAGTCCCTTCATTTTTCCAGCCAGCTCCAAATTAGTAGACAATGGGGGCTATATTTGAAGGAAATTCCCAATACAGTCATTGTTATATAAAAATACCCTCTTGGGGAGGCCATTCTCTTTTAATTTTCAGAGTCTCTATTTCCAGAGGGGTACCCAGTAGTATGAGAGAATATGTTCAGGGAGAAGATTGTGATGGTCACTCACCCTTAGAAGTCTCTAAAGAAGAGCATAAGATAATCTTTATTCTGAAGAGAACCACAGTTCAATTATGTAGACGGGGCAGAGATAGAAAAAATATATAGTATTGAATCACGGGTCAAGCACTATACTAAGATTTTTACATGCATATTCATTCACCTTATTTTCTCAATAACCTATTATTTCCCCATTTTACAAAAGAAGAAGCTGAAGCCCAGATAAAGTAAATGAATATCCAGACGAGCTGACATTTGGATCATAAGAGGTAGAGCTGGGAATCATACCTAGGTCTGAGTGACTCCAAATTCAGCCTCTTTCCATTGGACTACATTCAATAAATACTTGGTTAATTTGGAGGGCAGGAAGGAGAAGAACCACGTTTGACTCACTGTCAAGTTGTATTTATTTGTCCTTAGGTCTGTGGTTTTCATTTTGCCCTACATATCATATTAATCAGCTGTTCCACTAACAAACACAGATTTAAAACGCTCCTGGAATGTTTGACTTATTCAGTGACTTCATCATTAAAAGGACACTGGGGAGGGAGGCAAGAAAGGAGTTTTCCAATATCCATTACCATGTGCACACTGCCCTCTCCCGCATCCCTCTCTTGACATATCACTCTCCATTCAGCTTTATGCTATCACAGTAGCAAAAACGCAGCTTTCTGCAAGATACATGAAAAATCCATCACTCTTTACCGTGGTAAAGGACTTTAAAGTACAAGACCGAAATGAAGAGACATCACTGTTGTAACTTTAAGCTCAGAGAAAAAATACATATATGGTGATAATACCTACACACATTTTCTTTTCTTTTTTTTTATTTATTATACTTTAAGTTCTAGGGTACATGTGCACAACATGCAGGTTTGTTACATATGTATACATGTGCCATGTTGGTGTGCTGCACCCATTAACTCATCATTTACATTAGGTGCACTTACACACATTTTCACACATTAACATTTAAAGTGACCATGCCAGCTGTTAAATAGGAGAATATAGTAGAATTTAGTCTCTCTACTAACTGGACTAGTTTAAGAATAGAACAGAGAGAGAGAGAGAAAACAAAGCTAGAAGCAATGCTCACTGTAACTGAAATAATGAGAGACATTCAGATTCTGAGGAGACTATACATAAATGAGAAAGAAATAAGGTTGAAATGAAATAATTAAAAGCTTTTATAATCCTGTGTGTGATTATAATTGTGTGTTATAATAATGAGGCATACATTGTAAGTCATTTGCAGTAAGAATATAATTACTATCATTTGTATTTGCCAATTCCAGCATTCCTGGAGTCAGCTGGGGAAAGAAACAGTCCTAAAGAGAGGAGCCAAGGCAAGGGAGAGGAGGAAGTGGTTTCTCTCTTCTTGTTGCTTTTCTTGCTGGCAGGTGGTGTCGAGTTAAATTTGGCCTGAGGCTGCATCCACACCTTGATTCCCTACATAGTGAACTGCATTATTAGTACTAACTAAAACCTAATTTAGGAGTATAACAAAAAGCCCAGTTTCAGCCAATTGCAAGCAGCTGGGTAAGCAATCACAGGCATCCAGATCATTATGCCATGCCCAAACAATGCAGATGCCTACCTGCTGCAAATCTGTTGATTTATCTACTTTGCTTTTGCATCTGGTCTATAAACACTTGCTATTCATGCTGCTGGTCAGAGCTTTCTGAACCTCCATTAGTTCAGAGTGCTGCCCAATTCATGATTCACTTTTTGCTCAAATAAATTCTATTTAATTCGTTTAAGCTTTTCCTTTTAACATCGACATCAATCCCTTTTCCACTGAACCTGTCTCCTAACAGGTCTTGTCTGCTCTACCTGAAGCTGAATCTAGGGCCTCAATGCATGCCCTAATTGCTTAGGAAATATCACAGAGAGTCTCCATATGACACTGAGACTAAAAGTCTCTTCAGTGCCATGGAGAAGGAGATTGTTGTTTCAGTGAGTGGATGGTATAAGGTAGATTGGTGGTTCTCAAAGGTTAACATGCATCAGAATCATGTTGAGGGTTTGTTAAAACACAGACTGATGGTCCTAACTCCAGAATTTCTGATTCAGCAAGTGTGGCATGGGGTTCAAGATTTTATGTTCCTAATAATTTTTCACATGTTACTGATACTGGTGACCCGGGGCGGGGGGGTCCCACTTTGAAAACAACTGTCTAAACTCAGACAGATTGGGTTCCTATCCAAGTTCTTTCACTTGAATGACTACAGGAAAATTACTTTACTCCTCTAAACGTCAGTCTCCTGTGCTATAAAATGGGCCCAATTCAGAGCATTATTGCATGGATTCAATAAAACAATGCACACAAATTTCTCATCCCTACTCTTGGTGTTTGGTAAGCATTTTGTAAAACTTAGTTAATTTTTAACAGTATTTTGTTACTTTCTATGGCAAGATAATACATATAAACTATGTTAAGCAGCTAGCAGCTGGAGAGGAAGGACAAAGAGTAGGAAGCACCAGTGTTCAGAAACAGATACCAATTTATATTTTGGTCACAGTGAGTAATCAGATTTCCTTGTACTTTGGTGCTGTGCTGGCTGTATAAAAATTATCTGAGAGACATGCAAAAATATATTCTATGTGCTACACTCAGAAATTTGGATTTATTAGGTCTGAGACATGCTCTGGTATTGGTGTTTCTAAAAAAGCTCCCAAGACTATTCTGTTGTACTTTCATGTGTGAAAAACACTGGCATTAGCCATCAGATTGCTTTCCTGACATCAACTTCTAAGGCAGTGTTCTCAATTTGAGTTGAACATTAGAATCATCTGGGAGCTTTCAAAAATCCCAATGGCTACACCCAGACCAATTACATCAGAAGCTCTATGGGTTGAATCCTGGCATTGGGTTTGTTTTGTTTTTCGAAAGATCCCCAGTTAGTTACTATATGTAGCCAAATTTGCGAATCATTGTTCTAAGAGAAGGAGAGTTTTACTGGTTGAAGATGAATTGTCAAGAAGTAATTTTGAAATACAGTATTGTATTAGGCAAATATTATCTTGGTGATAAAAAAGGATTGGTCATCAGAGAGAATTATAAGGACACTAACAGTTTTTATAAGTGCATTAGGCATTAGAAGGTGGGAGAAGGACATAGTAGTCCCTAAATTATGTCTGTCTCTTTGAATTCTTTTGGGGGCAGCCTTTACCTCCTCTATATCTCAATGAGATGCTGTTTTATATTTGTTAATTACACTTCTCTCATTACAAAATGTGAGCAAACTTTCTGTTCTTGTTGTTTTGCCTGAGGTGGGCTAAATACTGTGCTAAGTGTAATCCAATTAGAACCTTAGATTATCCGTGTGAAATAAATATTATCTTCCCCACTTGCAAATGAAACATCAGCTCTGACAAGATGATAGCTTGCCTATAGTTACAGATGTGGTAAGTTGCATCATTATAAACAGGCCCCACAGGCTTAACTCAGCAGTAACAACTTCTCTAGCACAGCCTCAGTTTTTGTTCCTGAGATTTCTCTTAAATATTTGTAAAATGTTTTCCAGTGGGATGGGATTAAAACTGAATGTTCATAGAATAGATAAAAGGACTTATTATTGACCATAGACAGGAGATTGGGTCTATTCTCTTTTCCTAGGAAAAGATTAAGAAGCATCAGCATAAATGCCCTTTGGTGGCTCTGCTCACTGTGTGTCTGAGATATAGTTCTGAAAAGAATATAGCTTTTATTAAATTGATTTGCTTACTTCCTTAGATATTTGATTGCCCTCAAAGTTTTTCATCATCTCCTCACCATTTACAATATTGAACATAAAAGTAAAAAATTTTATTGAACAATAAAAACGCTCTAATAAAATAAAGGTGGTAAATCTTTCCAAGTGGCAGCACAGAAGGCATTCTATGCAAGCCAAGAGAATGGGCCTGAGTCGGGAATACATGGGATAATATTGAATCTTATCTGTAACACATGCAGCAAATAGAAACCCCTTGAATATTTAGACCTACAGAAGAGACAGAAAATGCCATCTGTGAGAGACAAATCAAGGCCCTGGCATGGACAAAACAAGCCCCAACATTTCCACTTATGTGTGTTCTGCATTGACACTGGACAGTCAAAGCTATCCCAAGCCACTTTGGTGGAAGGATTTATGATGTATTGTTTGGCAAGCTGATTTAAACGAGCCTCTGCAAATACACTTAGTGTAAACTTACCCATCATGGACAATGGAACTGTTTTAAGATGGTTTTCAGATTCATCACAGCCTCTATGGTATTTTCCTTTAATAATGCATCTTGAAAAATAAGATGTTTAGCTAAGGCTGCTAATTCTTTGAAACTCTAATAATTTAAGCTGTCTAGCCTTGTTCATGGTAATTATTTCTATCCATTATCCATCATGCTAAGAAATGACAGCTCAGGGACAAGGAGACTTTTCAAGCAAATGCTAAAGCATTTGTTTTAGTTAGCCAGCACTAGCCAATGTTAATTAAATTATATAAACAATGACTCATGGTATAAATACAGAAGCTTGAAAGAAAAAGAAGACAGTTCAATCAGTTCAATAGCTTTAAAACTATATATTGTTTCTAAAATAAAAGGGGAATTTTATTATTTTTGACTTCATATTTATCTTTCTTTAAAATTCAGTTGTTAAAATACATTGTCTCTGAAAGTCTTATACCTAAGATTATCAGGAGACGAGAACATGCATTTCTTTATTTTGGATTGAAGACACATTTTTAAAAAATGTAAGCTCCTTTAGGAGTCACAGGATCATGAGTCTAGCTGCTAGCCATTCTCAAAGTGGGAAACCAATGTCAGTGGATGGAGTTTACACTAATATTAGTGTAACTGCCAATATTTCTCTAACACACAGTGTAGAGTGTAACCACTAATATTTCTCTAACACATACCACTCTTTTATAATAAGTGTCTGAAAAGCTTTAGAAGGTTACTAGTTTTGAAATTTTTATTCTCTAAGATGGATAACATCTCAGAACCAGTGGCAAGTATAAAAATGTGTAACCATCATCCTCTACCCATTGCTCACCTACTCTGCACTGAGAAAAAAAAATATCTGATAGGATGCCCATGTTCTTCAATTTATAACAAAATCAACAGATTAGCCTCCTAGAAATTCAGAATTTTGAAGTGCTGAATTAACACATAAAAAGGAAAGAAACCCTGGGTCACCCTTGCCTTCTAGTGATTTCCACTTTTTTTTTTTTCACCATGCACAGTAGAGTCATAGGAAGAATTAATGCTCCACAAACAAATCAGTGGCCTTCATAATATGAACATACCCTGATAATTTAGGGGACTTAGGTAAAGTAATTTGCGAGCTCCTTAATGTCAGAGGCTATGTGTTATTCACCTTCGTGTGGCTCACAGAGCCGGAAAGGATGCTTCACAGGTCCTCGATGGGAGTAATATGTGTAATGGCTATTGCAGCCTGAGCCTAAGCAGATCACCGTAGGATTCAAGCATGTCTAGATGTGATGAGGAAATGTCCACAGAATAGATCATTTAAGGACATGATAGACATGATAAATTTGTTATTTGGTAAGAACATATTATAAAAGAAGATAAAATGGCATTGAATAATGTGATTATGGAAACCGAGAAGTCCTACAACCTGCCATCTGCAAGCTAGAGACCCAGGAAAGATGGTGAATCAGAAGAAGCCAGGGCATGGGAAGATTAATGTCTCAGCTCTATTAGCCAGGCAGAGAGCAAATTCGAACTTTCTTTGCCTTTGTGTGTTATTCAGACCCTCAATGGACTGGATGATGCCCACCCACAGTAGGGAGGGTTATCTGCTTTACTCAGTCCACCAATTCAAATGCTCATCTTTTCTGGAAACACCTCCACAGACACACTCCAAAGTAATGTTTAATCAGGTATCTGGGCATCTCATGACCCAGTTAAATTGACACATAAAGTCAACCATTACAAGTCCTCTCCTTGTCAACTTGGCACCCATAGATATCTCCTTAAGTGATACTTATTCTCCAAATAAACACAATAACAAGGCCCATAATTCTGCCTAACATGACACTACTACCCTGTATATCCAAAAATACACTAAACTATTCTTCAGAAGAGGAGGTAAAGTCCTTGAATGATGTTTACTCTTCTTCTTGATATCCCATAACTTAACTACTATAGTGTAAAATTAATACTTAAACACTATGAAATAAAGTCAATAGGCAATATATGTATATACATATTATATATATACATTGTATACATTATATATACACATATTATATATAAATTTTATATTACATATGATATGTATGATATATAAATTACATAAATATATAATATGATATATATAAATTATATAAATATATAACATAATATAATATATTATATATAAACATAATATTGTATATACTCTGTGGCCTAGTCAAGTTGATATATTGTATTTATATATATACATTTGTATATGGAGAGAGAGATGTATTTTAAGGCATTGGTGTACATGATAAGGAAATAAGAGAACAAAGAAAACAAACACAGTTGAAACATACACAGGTGTATCCATAACAAACTAAGGAGAAAATGCTTGAGGGTGATTACAGTCCTTGTGATATATATAGCTACCCTCTTCCCCTGCCTTGTCTTTTTTGCCTTCAGTAAGCACCTCAGTTAATCATGGTTCTTTATCAGGTTGGGTGACCCAAACTTTCATTCCTGAAGGGTATGGGCCATTAGTAGTCCTGCCTAGATTAGGGTATTGTAGTTTTCCATAGAACTTAATCACAGGACATAGTACTAATAAGAGACACCCTAAGGGATCTCTTGTATCCCAGACATACTTTTTCTTTGCTCGATTGTGGAATAGTACTCCAATTTCCCCCTGTTATTCAGGATCAATCACCCTAGCCAGCACAGTAACTCCCTTATTTACCTGTTGATTCAGAGGCACGAGGAGCCCAGAGTGGCTGGGTGACAGTCTTTTTTTTTTTTTTAACAGTCAAAAAACCTTTACTAAGCGGCCATCATGTGCCAGGAATAGAAGAATAAATAAAATTTTCTAAAGTTACTAGTACTTTAAAGTACTCCAAATTTACAAGTACTTCACACATGTTATATAAAACAAATTAATTCTTTACTGGTGTGTATTTCAGTTGATGATTCTTTTGGGTGGCAGTCTTAACTACCAGTTCAATCAGATAATTGTGTGGGTGGAAGCCTCTCTCCCTCTGGATCCAAGAGCTCTAGGCCAGAATAGCATAAGGTCAGGAGAACAGGAAGCAAAAATTTTGCTTATGGGTCACTAGGAGTAATAGTGAGTGGTGCCATTCTCATTTCCACCCTTGATTCCTGAAACCTGGAATTCTGGCTTGTAGTTTACAGGCCTGAGAGTTGGGGTATAATCCAGTCTGAGTCTAAAGGCTTGAGAACCAGAAATGCCGAGAGGAGGAAAAGATCAAAGTCTCGGCCAGGCACGGTGGCCCATGCCTGTAATCCCAGCACTTTGGGAGGCTGAGGCAGGTGGATCACGAGGTCAGGAGATTGAGACCATCCTGGCTAACACAGTGAAAACCCGTCTCTACCAAAAATGCAAAAAATTAGCCAGGCATGGTGGCATGCACCTGTAGTCCCAGCTAATCAGCTGAAGGAGGACAATAGCTTGAACCCAGGAGGTGGAGGTTGCAGTGAGCCAAGATTGTGCCACTGCACTCCAGCCTGGGTGACAGAGGGAGACTGTGTCTTAAAAAAACAAACAAACAAAAAAAATCGAAGTCCCAGCTCGCATAGGCAGGCAGAGGGAAAACTCAATTTTCCTCTGCCTTTTTGTGCTAGTCAGACCCTCAATGAATTGGATGATGCCCATCTACATTGGGAAGGGCCATCTACCTTACTCAGTCCACCAATTTAATGCTAATTTCTTCTGGAAATACCCACACAGGCACACCCAGAAATGTTTAACCCGATATCTGGGCATCCTGTGGCCTACTCAAGTTAACACATGAAATTAAACATCAGACCTCAAATTGGGTTCAAACTTGGCGCTGAAGTAGAGGAATGATTAAGTATAATTTCACATCTCTCATTTAGATTTTCCATTGGCCCAATCCTTATTAAGTCATGACTGAACTCGCCTTTCTAGAGGTCCTATGAAACAATGAGTGATAAATAAGTAAAGAAAACAAACAAACAAATAGCTGTAGGATACAGTGTGAGCAGCAACTCCTGCCGTGAAAGGAGATCATAAGAGTGCCTACAACAATTATAGAGGGCAGAAACTTCAATGCAAAATTCAGCACCCTCAGTAGTCAGTATCCTTGTCACAGAGAAGAGTGGGCAGAGGCAGAAGTGGAGGCACTTTTTTAGACAGTAGCAGAATGCATGCTTGTGTGATCATCATCAAACACCCAATTTGAGAAATGTTCTTGATTAAACACAGTGTGGGGTCAGCTCACCAAGAACATGACATACTGAAACCATCACCTTTCTATCTCCATCAGCCCCTCCCTTGACCTAAGGAGAACAGTATCTGAAAGGACAGCTATACCATTTTTTCTGCTAGTGGTAGCATTATTAAATGAGAGAAACGCCATAGACTGGTATATCAGGATTTTGGCTAGGAATTGGTTGATTATCAAGATTATCTCTGTACAACATGGGGGAAATATACCTTTGTGATTTTAAAGTGTTTGAATTATTTACTTAACGTTAAAGTCCTCTAGTGTCATAACTATTGCCCCAGTGGACTGAGGAGGCTCATGGGAAAGAGCCTACCCCAAGGGAAGAGGGTCAGGTTGTACAAATCTGTTTTAATGACAGGAGAGCAGAATCGAAGTATGCATGATTTCTAAAAGATGTTTTTCAAATGAGAAGGTGGCCCACAGTAGAAAATAATAGACAATTTGATAGTCAAATTAGATATAAAAAGTTCCCATAGGCTATAACATTGGGATGAATCTAACTAACATGATGAATGAGGTGGGAAGAAAAGAGTGTTTTTTTAAAAATGTATAGGATGAGATAGTAGGATTTATATGATACATTTAAAATACAGTGAGCTGCCCAAACATTTTTGTTATATTCTTAACATTAAATTGAACTCATTTCTCAAATAAAATCATATCCAGTTGCCTTTCAAATTCTTGGGAAACTAGTATTTACTGGTACAATAATGGGAATGGATACAGTTTTTGAGTTCTCTACACATAGAAATCAGTTGTTTTATGATGAGTGACAGTGAAGAGGACACATACTACTAGTTGGGAATTATTAGGCTATTGAATGTGAAATTACCTTAACTATCTCTGACATCTTAAGCTTATTTCACAGACATTTGCCTTAGACAAATTTCCAGATGTTTAGGGATTTTTCAGATAATGTTCTGATGTTGGTTTCTATTTTAATTAGGTTGTGATCAGAGAAGATATTCTGAGTGATTTCAGTGTGTTTAAATGTTTTGAGACTTGCTTTATGGCCAAGCATATTGTCTGTTATGATGAACGCTTCATGTGCACTTGAAAACTATGTGTATTCTGCATTATTGAGTATAATGTTCTACAAATGACAATTAGGTCAAATTGGTTGATAGTGTTGTTCAAGACCTCTATATCCTTATTGATTTTCTGTCTACTTGTTTTATCAGTTATTTAGAGAAAAGGTCATGAAATTTCCAGCTATAATTGTGGATATGTTTATTTATCTCTTTAGATGTCAGTATTTGCTACATGAATTTTGAAGCCCTGTTATTAGGTACATATGCATTAAGACTATTACATCATATTAATGAGTTGGTGGACCATTTATAACTATGAAATGCCACTTATTTCTGGTCATATTCTTATCTTAAAGTCTACTCTTTTTGATAATAATATAGCTATTCCAGCTTCCTTACTTTTACTCTGTTTTGATAATACAGCTACTCCTGTTTGCTTACAATTACTCTAAGTCTGTGTCTTTATACTTATATGAGTTTCTTGTAGACAATATAGTGTCTTGCTTTATTATCCAGTCTGACTTTCTCTGCCTTTCAATTGGAGTTTTTAGACCATTTTCATTTTATGTAAGTATTGGCATGATTTGATTTAAGTCTACCATCTTGCTATTTATTTTCCATTTGCCTAATTTGTTCTGTATTCCTTTTACCTCTATTTTGAAGAAAAGTTACAAAACATTCTTTATTTGTTTTTATGTAAGTGATGTGTCTTCCCCCACCCCCCTTCCCAGCTGCTTTTAAGGTTGTTTTCAATTACTGATTTTTAGCAGTTTGATTATGATGTGCCTCGGTGTGACTTTTTGTTCGTTTGGTTTTTTTTTTTTTATCTTGCTGTTTTTTTTAGCTTCCAAAAAAGGATATGGGATTTTATGAAATTGATTTAAAAATGTAACCATTATTTTTCAAATGAGTTTTCTGACCATCCCCTTTCTTTTTCTGGGACTTCAGTTAAATGTATATTAGCATACTTAGTATTGTCTCATGTTACTGTGATTTTGATTATTTTTTCAACCTTTTTTCTTTGTGCTTCAGTTTGGATGAGTTCCATTACTATGTCTCCAAGTTCACTGTTCATTGTTATGTCTTCAAGTTCTTTTGCAGTGTCTACTCTGCTATTAATACCATCCACTGATTCAAACAATTTTTTAGATATTGCATTTTTAAATTTTAGAGTTTTTAAATGTTTCATTTTTCTGTATATTTTGATCATGATTTATTCTGAAACCTTGGTTGTATTTCTAACAGCTGTCTTAAGGTCCTTATCAGTCAACTTTATCAGTTTTTACACTTCTGTGTCTGTTTATATTGACTGTTTTTTCCCTCTATAGGTCAATTTTTTATGCTTCTTCATATATATTATAATTTTTCATTAGATGCTGAATCTGTGGACATAACATTGTTTTGTTGTCATTTTTTCTCTTTTTCTTTTTTGAGACAGAGTCTCATTCTGTCACCCAGGCTAGAATGCAGTGACGTGATCTCAGCTGACTGCAAACTCTGCCTCCCAGGTTCACACCATTCTCCTGCCTTGGCCTCCTGAGTAGCTGGGACTACAGGTGCCCACCACCACACCCGGCTAATTTTTTGTATTATTTAGTAGAGAGGGGGTTTCACCGTGTTAGCCAGGATGGTCTCGATCTCCTGACCTCATGATCCACCCACCTCGGCCTCCCAAAGTGCTGGGATTACAGGCGTGAGCCACCGTGCCTGGCTGTCATCTTTTAAAGATAGTTGAACTTGGTTTAGGCAGGTTATAAAGTTTCTTGCAGATTAGTTTGATTATGTTGAGGCTTAATTTGAAGGATTTTAAAAGGCAGCCGAAATTAACCTTTATTCTAGGCCTAGTTTATGTTTAGTACAGAGGTATCATGCTTCTGGGGTTCTTACTGAATTCCCCAGATATTAAACAAGATTTCTTTACTCTGGCTGTTTAGAAGGAGTCACAGCCCTGTGTGAGCTCTGGGAATTGTTCACCTTACAGCTTTATGGTAATCGTTCTTTCTATGACAGTTATTCTCTGCCTCATTCTATTACTTTACCTTGAAAATTACGTGTGTTTCAGTCTCCCAAAGCCCGATTTCTGTCGACTTGTTTCAGAGTCCGGTGTTTTGTTTGGGCTCCCCCTCTTCCTCCATAATGATCCAGAAAATTCCTGCAGGCAGAAAGTTGGGACAGTTGTAGGACTTATTTTATTTGTTCTCTTATATCAAGGATCACACTTCTGGGCTGCCTCCTGTTCAACATGAGAAAAGAGTTGTTTACATAGATTGTGCAGTTTTCTAGTTATAAGCCAGAGGAAAACAAGTTTAGTGCTATAGTACTATACACTCCATTATGGGTGTTAGCAAAGTTTATAGTGGAAGTTTTAATCTCTTGCCTTGAAGTAAATTTTTTAATTTTAACATTCCTCCAAAATATTTTATATTTCATAAAATAATACATGGAACTTTTGGTTTTCAGTCCAGCATATAAGAAGCTGGAAGTTGCCACTCTGTCCTGACAAGTAAAAAACTGAACAAACTGAAGGGTCAACAATTATTCTTAGATACATCAGTGGGTTGTGGTCACAGGGCAAACCACTGCTCCTAAATTGGAGAGCCCAACATTCAAATTCAGAGAATTGTGGCTTGCTAGAACAGAAATCCATAAGCACAAACTTCCGCTGAAATCAGTGCCAAGGTGGAGAAACCTGAACTATAAGGGATAAATTGCTGGAGGCTTAGCATGGACAAGTCTGACAGATAAAAAATTCCAGGGGTACCCAGTCATCAGAGTCTCCTCGCACTTTTGTAAGTTTGACCTCCAGGAGCTCAATCAGTGTATTAGTCCATTTTCACACTGCTGATAAAGACATACCCGAGACTGGGAAGTTTACAAAAGAAAGAGGTTTATTGGACTCACAGTTCCATGTGGCTGGGGAGGCCTCACAATCATGGCAGAAGGTGAAAGTCACATCTCACATGGCAGCAGACAAGAGAAGAGAGCGTGTGCATGGAAACTCTCCTTCTTAAAACCAACAGATTTCATGAGACTTATTCACTATCATGAGATAGTGAATGGGAAAGGCCTTCAGTATGGGAAAGGCCTGCCCCCATGATTCAATTACCTGCCACCAGGTCCCTCCCACAAAACATGGGAATTATGGGAGCTACAATTCAAGATGAGATTTGGGTGAGGACACAGCCAAACCATATCATTCTGCTCCTGGCCCCTCCCAAATCTCATGTCCTCACATTTAAAAACCAATCATGCCTTCCCAACCATCCCTCAAAGTCTTAATTCATTTCAGCATTAACTCAAAAGCCCACAGTCCAAAGTCTCATCTGAGACAAGGCAAGTCCTTCCTGCCTATGAGCCTGTAAAATCAAAACCAAGTTAGTTACTTCTTAGATACAATGGGGGTACAGGCATAGAGTAAATACAGCCATTACAAATGGGTGGAATTAGCAAAAACAAAGTGCTATGGCCCCATGCAAGTCTAAAATCCAGCAGGGCAGTCAAATCTTAAAGCTCCAAAATGATATTAACTCTGTGTCTCCCATCCAGGTCACATTGATGCAAGAGGTGGGTTCCTATGGTCTTGGGCAGCTCTGACCCTGTGGTTTTTCAGGGTATAGCCTCCTTTCCAGCTGCTTCCATGGGTTAGCATTGAGTGTCTGCAGCTTTTCTAGGTGCACGGTGTAAGCTGTTGGTGGATCTACCAACCTGGGGCCTGGAGGGTGGTGGCCCTCTTCTCACAGCTCCACTAGGTAGTGTCCCAGTAGGGACTCTGTGTGGGAGAACCTACCCCAAATTTCCCTTCCGCACTGCCTTAGCAGAGGTTATTCATGAGGGCCCTGCCCCAGCAGCAAACTTCTTCCTGGACATCCAGGAGTTTCCATACATCCTCTGAAATCTAGGCAGAGCTTCCCAAACCCCAATTCTTGACTCTATGCACTCACAGGCTCAACACCACATGGAAGCTTCCAAGGCTTGGGGCTTACACCCTCTGAAGCCATGGCCTGAGCTCTATGTTGGCCCCTTTTAGCCATGGCTGGAGCAGCTGAGATGCAGGGCATCAAGTCCCTAGGCTGCACACAGAATGGGGACCCTGGGCCTGGCACACAAAACCATTTTTTCCTTCTAGACCTCCAGGCCTGTAATGAGAGGGGTGCCATGAAGACCTCTGACATGCCCTGGAGACATTTTCCCCATTGTCTTGGGGATTAACATTTGGCTTCTCATTACTTATGCAAATTTCTTCAGTTGGTTTGAATTTCTTCTTGGAAAATTGAATTTTCTTTTCTATCTCATTGTCAGGCTGCAAATTTTCCAAACTTATATGCTCTGTTTCCATTTTAAAACTGAATGCCTTTAACAGCACCCAAGTCACTCCTAGAATGCTTTGCTGCTTAGAAATGTCTTCCACCAGATACCCTAAATCATCTCTCTCCAGTTCAAAGTTCCACAAATCTCTAGGGCAGGGGCAAAAAATACTGCCAGTCTCTTTGCTAAAACATAACAAGAGTCACCTTTGCTCCAGTTCCCAACAAGTTCCTCATTTCCACCTGAGACCACCTCAGCCTGGACCTTATTGTCCATATTGCTATTAGCATTTTTGTCAAAGCCATTCAACAAGCCTCTAGGAAGTTCCAAACTTTCCCACATTTTCCTGTCTTCTTTTGAGCCCTCCAAACTCTTCCAACCTCTGTCTGTTACCCAGTTCCAAAGTTGCTTCCACATTTTTGTGTATCTTCAGCAGTGCCATGCTCTCAGTAACAATTTACTATATTTGCCCATTTTCACACAGCTGATAAAGACATACTTGAAACTGGGCAATTTACAAAAGAAATAAGTTTATTGGACTCACAGTTCCATGTGGCTGGGGAGGCCTCACAATCATGATAGAAAGTGAAAGGCAGATCTCACATGACCACAGACAAGAGAAGAGAGCTTATGCAGGGAAACTCCCCGTTTTTAAACCATCAGATCTGGTGAGACTTATTCACTGACATGAGAATATCATGGGAGAAGCCTGCCACCATGATTCAATCACCTCTCACCAGGTCACTCCCACAACACATGGGAATTCAACATGAGATTTGGGTGGGGACACAACCAAACCATATCAACCAGGTTCTTACTGTAAATAAAGAAAAATCTCCTTGTGCTTCTGGCAAGGACCAGGGAAATATAAATCATTTAAAAATATGCCAGAGCATTCTGTTCTCCTTAACAAGGCCTGTCCTCAGGAGAAACTAACCTTCTGGAGTTTTGTCAGAGCCTAACTGCCCTAGAATGAGGAAAATACCCAAGTCCAGCACCCTCTAGCTATCCTGTTCCACCAAAGCAGGGGTGGGAGGACACTGAGAAGCACATATGATGTTCACAGTCCAGAGGTACAGGCTCACTGGAAGACTGGGACCTCCTCACAGGACTAGAGAATGCTTCCCTTCCCTCCACAGCCTAGCATCACATTACTAAAAGCCTATTTACTGCAATCCCTTTATTCTAATATATCATGTCCAGCTATCAATAAAAAATTACAAAAAACACTAAAAGGGAAAAACAGAGATTGAAGAGAAAGCTTCAGAATGAGATGTAGATATGGCAAGAATGTTGGAATTATCTGACTGAGAATGTAAAACAACTATGATTAAGATGCTAAGGGTTGTAATGAATAAAGTAGACAGCATGCAAGAACCGATGGACAATGTAAGTGGAGAGATAGAATTTCTAAGAAAGAACCAAAAAATAAGTTCTAGCAATAAAACAAAACTGTAACAAAAATGAATTTCTCTAATGGAATTATTGGTAGACTAGATATGGCTGAGGACAGAATCTCAGAGCTTGAGAGTATCTCAATTGAAACCAACAAAATTGGAAATCAAAGAAAAAAAGACTGATAAAATAAAGCAGAATATCCAATAACTGTGGGACAACTAACAAAGGTGTAACATGTGTGTAAGGGGAATACCAGAAGCAGATGAGACAAAGAAAATATTTAGAATATGTTAATATAAAATAAATATTTGAAAGAGTAATGACATAATTTCCTCAAATTAATGTCAGACACCAAACCACATATTGAGGAAGTTCAGAGAATGCTGAGCAGGAGAAATGTCAAAAATATTACACTTGGCCATATTATTTTCAAACTATAGACAATTAAAAATAAGGAAAAGATCTTGGAAGAAGTCAGAGAGGAAAAAACACCTTACCTATTGAGGAGCAAAGATAATAATTCCAACCTCCCCTCAGAAATTATGCTAGCAAGATGAGAGTGGAGTACAATATTTAAAGTGTTGAGAGAAGAAACCACCAACATAAAGTTCTGTACCTTGTGAAACTATCCTTCAAAAGTGACAAATAAATAAAGACTTTCTCAGACAAACAAAAACTGAAGGGATTTGTTGCTAGTAGACCTGCCTTGAAAGAAATGTTAAAAGAAATTATTTAATAAAAAGGAAAATGATAAAGATCAGAAACTCAGGTCTACATAAAATAAGGAAAAGTATCTGAGAAGGAATAAGGGAAGGTAAAATAAAGGTATATATTTTTTATTCTTTTTTTATTATTATTATACTTTAAGTTTTAGGGTACATGTGCACAATGTGCAGGTTTGTTACATATGTATACATGTGCCATGTTGGTGTGCTGCACCCATTAACTTGTCATTTACATTAGGTGTATCTCCTAATGCTATCCCTCCCACCTCTCCCCACCCCACAACAGGCCCTGGTGTGTGATGTTCCCCTTCCTGTGTCCATGTGTTCTCATTGTTCAATTCCCACCTATGAGTGGGAACATGCGGTGTTTGGTTTTTTGTCCTTGTGATAGTTTGCTGAGAATGACTGTCCTGCACCCACTGTCCGACAATCCCCAGTGAGATGAACCTGGTACCTCAGTTGGAAATGCAGAAATCATCCATCTTCTGCGTCACTCACGCTGGGAGCTGTAGACTGGAGCTGTTCCTATTCGGCCATCTTGGAACCACCCATATTTTTTATTCTTAATGCAACAGATTGAACAGCTTTTTCAAAAAATAATAGTAGCAATGTATTAGATTATATGTGTGTGTATATATATGTCTACGTATAAGCAAGATAAATTATAGCAATGATAATATAAATGTGATGGGAGAATTATTTATTTATTATGAGGTACTAGCATTACTTGTGAAGTGTTATAGCATTATTTGAAACTAAATTTGGATTAGTTGTAAATGTACATTGCAAACTCCAGGGTAAGCACTAAAAAAAAGATGAAAAATAGTTTAATATGGTAACAAAAGAGAGGAAATGGAATAATAAAATGCTCAATTAAACCCACAAAAGGCAGAAAAAAGTAGAAGACAAAAAGAAGAACAATGAACAAGGGCAACAAATAAAAAACAGTAATGGATACAGTAGATATTAACCCAACTATATCAATCCAACTATATACAGTAGATATTAAACCAACTATATTATTTATATCAAGAAATAAACAATCTGAATAGACCATTGATGGTCAATGGTCTAAATGCACCAATTAGAAGATACTTAGTGTTCCAGTGCATCATGAAACAAGATCCAACTATATATTGTATACCAGAAGCCCACTTTAAATATAAAGACACATATAAATTAAATGTAAATGAATGGAGAAATACATACTGTGTTAAGACGAATCAAAAGAAAGCAGAAGTAGCTATATTAATTTCAGGCAGAGCAGAGTTTAAACCACTGAAGGTTATCAGGGAAAAAGAGGAGCATTATATGATAATAAAGTGTCAGTTCCACAAGAAGACATAACAATTCTTAATGAATGTTTATGTGCTTAACAACAGAATGTTGAAATACATGAGGCAAAAAACTGATAGAACTACAAGGAGAAATAGACAAATCCACTATTATGGTTGGAGACTTTGACACTCTTCTTTCAGATATAGACAGATTCAGCAGGCAGAAAATCAGTAAGGACATAGTTGAAATATATGAGGCAAAAAAAAGCGATAGAACTACAAGGAGAAATAGACAAATCCACTATTATGATTGGAGACTTCGACACTCCTCTCTCAGATATAGACAGATTCAGCAGGCAGAAAATCAGTAAGGACATAGTTGAACTGAACAGCATCATCAATCAACTAGGTATAACTGACATGTGTAGAGTACGTTATAGTACTTTTCTTCTCAAGCTCACATGAAATGTTTATCAAGATCGAGCACATGCTGAACTGTAAAATACACCTTAACAAATAAAATATGATTGAAAATTATACAAAATACCTTGTTAGAGCAGAGTGGAACTAAACTAAAAATAAATAATAGAAAAACCCAAAAAGCCTCAAAATGCTTGAAGATCAAACAACCTACTTCTAAATAACACATGGCTCAAAGAAGGAATCTTCAGAGACATTAAAAATACTTTGAACTAAAGAAAAATAGAAACAAAACTTATCAAAATTTGGGAAATGCAATAAAAAGGAGTGCAATTTTGCAATTAAATACATATATTAGAAAAGAAGAAATAACTAAAATCAATTACTTCTGCCTTAGGAGGCCAGAAAAAGAAGAGCAAACTAAATCCAAAGTGAGGAGAAGCAAAGAAATAATAACAATTAGAGCAGAAATCAATAAAATTGAAAACATGAAATCAATAGAGAAAATTCTTGAAGCCAAAAGATGGTTTTATGAAAAAAAAAATCAGTAAAATTGATGAGTCTTTCATGAGCTAACTAAAAAAAATAAAAAGAGAGAGAACACAGGTTATTCCATCAGAAACAAAAGTGGGGACATCACTACGAATCCCATAGATGTTAAAAGGATGATAAAGGAATACTATGAACAATTCTATGTGCATACATTTGTTAACCTAGATGAAATAGACCCTTCCTTGAAAGACACCATCTGCCAAAACTCACACAAGAAGAAATAAACAATCTGAATAGGCCTACATCTATTGAAGAAATTGAATGAACAATTAATAACCTTCCAAAACAGAAAGCACCAGGCCCAGATGTGTTCTCTGGTGAATTCTACCAAAAAAATTAAGTAAGAAAGTTCACTAATTCTGCACCTTCTCTTTCAGAAGACAGATGCAGATGGAATACTTCCTAACTCATTCTATGAGGCCAGCATGTCCCTAATACCAAAGCCAGACAAAGACAGCACAAGGAAAGAAAACTACAGGCCAGTACCTCTCATGAGTATAGATGCAAAAACATCAATAAAATAATAGCAAATTGAATTCAGCAATGTATAGAAAGAACTGTAAACCACAACCAAGTGAGATTTATCTTCAGTATGCAGGCCTGGTTCAATGTTCAAAAATCAATTAATGTAACCCATTACATCAAAAGAATTGATATAGTTTGGATGTTTGTCCCCTCCAAATATCATGTTGAAATGTGATCCTCAATGTGGAAGGTGGGGCCTGGTAGGTGGTGTTTAGGTCATGGGGGCAGTCATGAGGGCAGATCTCTCATGAATGGGTTGGTGCCCTCCCCATGATAATGAGTAAGTTCTCACTCCATTAATTCACATAAGAGCTGGTTAAAAAAGCCTGGCATATTTCTTGCTGCCTGTCTCACCATGTGACATGACTGCTCCCCCTTCACCTTCTGCCATGACTGTAAGCTTCCTGAGGCCTTCACCAGGAGCAGATGCCAGCACTATGCTTCTTGTACAGTCAGAACTGTGAGCCAAAATAAACCTCTTTTCTTTATAAATTACCCAGCCTCAGGTATTCCTTTATAGCAACACAAAATGAACTAATACAAGGGTAATGAAGAAAAATCATATAATCTTTCCAACAAATACAGAAAAACTATCTGCAAAAATCTAACACCTATTCATGATAAAAACTCTCAGTAAACCAGGAAAAGAGGGAAACTTGTTCAACTTGATAAAGAATATCTATAATAAACCTAAGCTAAGATTATATTTAAAAGTAAGAAACTCAAAGCTTTCCCACTAGTATCAGGAACAAATCAAGGATATCTCCTCTCATGACTGCTTTTCCATACTGGAAGTCCTAGTTGATGCAATAAGACAAAAGGAAGTAAATGGTGATAGATTGGAATGAAAAAACAAAACTGCCTTTGTGCACAGATTGCATGTTTGTTTATGTAGAAAATCCAAAATAATTGACAAAAACTTCTGAAATTAATAAGCAATTATAGCAAGGTTGCAGGATATAAGGTTAAGACAAAAAAGCCCATCGCTTTCCTATATAACAGCTATGAGCAAGTGGAGTTTGAAATTAAGAACACAATACCATTTACATTGGGCAACCCAAAAATGGAATACTTAGGTATAAATCTAACAAAGTATGCGTAAGGTCTATATGAGGAAAACTATACAACTATGATGAAAGAAATCAATGAAGAATTAAATAAATGGAGAGATATTCCATATTCATGCATAGAAAGACTCAATACTGTCAAGATGTCAGTTCTTCCCAATTTGATTCAATGGAATCTCAATCAAAATTCCAGCAAGTCACTTTGTGGATAATGACAAACTCATTCCGAAGTTTATATGAATGGGCAAAAGACATAGAATAGCCAACACAATACTGAAAGAGAAGAATAAAGTTGGAGGGCTGACACTACTTGACTTCAAAACATACTATAAATTATAGCAATCAAGACAGTGTAGTATTGGTGAAAGAATTGACAAATAGATCAATGAAACAGAATAGAGATCCCTGAAATTGACCCAAATATAGTCAACTGATCTTTGACAAAGGAGTTAAGGCAATACAATGGAGAAAATTTTTTTTTCATCAAATGCCACTGAAACAACTGAACTTCCACATGCAAAAAAGGAGTATAGATACAGATTTTACACCCTTCACAAAAATTAATTCAAAATGTGTGACAGGTCTAAAGTAAAATTAAAAACCATAAGACTCTGAGAAGATAACAAAAAAGAAAATCTAAATAATTTGGGGTTTGGCAATCACATTTAGATGGAATACTGCTATGGTTTAAATGCACTTCCCCAAACAAGCATGCATTGTAAACTTAATACCCAATCCAACAGTGTTAAGAGATGGGACCTGTAAAAGGTGATTAGGCCATTAGATCTCCACCCTTACAGATGGATTAATGCTGTTATGATGGGAGTGAGTTCTTCATAAAAAGTTGAGTTTGGGTGTCCTTTTGCTCTCTCTCTCACCCATGTGATGCCTTTCACCATGTTATGGTGAAGCAAGAAGGCCCTCACCTGATGCTAATACCTTGATTTTTGGACGTCCTAGCCTACAGAATTGTGAGGAAATAAATTTCCGTCTTTTATAAAATAGCCAGTCTCAGGTATTCTGTTATAGCAGCACAAAACAAAATAAAACATACACCAAAGTCATGGTCTATGAAAGAAATAATTGATAAACTGGACTTTATTAAAATGAAAAATTTCTTCTCTGTGAATGACACTGTCAAGAAGATAAAATGATAAGCGACAAGCCACAGATTTGGATAAGTTGGCAAAACACATATGAGATAAAGAATTGTTATGCAAGATACACTAAGAACTCTTAAACTCAACAATAATAACATGAACAACCTAATTGAAAAATAGGCCAAAGACCTTGACAACTCACCAAAGAAGATACATAGATGGTAAATAAGCATATGAAAAGATGCTCCGCATCATATGTCATAAGAAAGTTCAAATTAAAACAACAGTGAGATACAACTATAACCTATCTGAATGACCAAAATCCACAACATCAAATGCTGGCAAAACAACAGAAACTCTCATACATTGCTGATGGAAATGCAAAATGATACTGCCACTATGAAATACAATTTGGAGGTGCTTTACAAAACTAATCATACTCTTACCATACAATTCAACACTTGCTTGCGTTGGTATTTTTCCAAAGAAGCTGAAAGCCTATGTGCGCACAAAAACTTGGACATGAATGTTTATAGCAGCTTTATTTGTAATTGTCAAAACCTGAAAGCAACCAAGATGTCCTTCAGGTGAATGGATAAATAAATTTTGGTATAGCCAGATAATAGAAAGTTATTATTCAGTCATAAAAGGAAATGAGCTATGAAGCCATGAAAATACATGAAAGAAACTTAAATGGAAGTGAAGCCAATCTGAAAAGACTACATAATGTTTCATTCTACCTATATGACATTCTCGAAAGGACAAAACTATGGAGTCACAAAAAAGATTAGTGGTTGCCAGGAGTTGGGGAAGGGAGGCAGAGTGCAGAGGATTTTTAGGGCAGTGAAACTACTCTCTATGATGTTATAATGGTGAATACATGTCATTATACGTTTGTCCAAACCCACAGGATGCACAACACCAAGAACAAACTGTACTGTAAAGTGTGGACTCTGGGAGATAATGATGTGTTAATGGAGGTCCATCAGTTGCAATAAATGTACCATCCTGGGTGGGGAGTTTTATAATAGGTGGTGCTAAGCATGTGGGGGAAGAGGATAAACAGGAAATCTCTCTACTTTCCTCTCAATTTTGTGTGAACCTAAAATTGCTCTACAAAAAAATCTATTAAAAATAATATGTAGTTTATTCCATGTACTATTGACACTTCTATTATGTACTCCACCTTCAGAAGCCATGTGAACTATAGTAAGTTCTTAAACATCTCTAGGATTCATTTCCTTATTTATAACATGGGCATAATAGTACTAATCTCATGAGGCTAGTAGTAGTAATCTCTTTATGTAATCAATTAGAAGGATTCAGATATATAAAACCTGGTCCTCAGAAGAAAACTGATAAATGATGCTATTCATATAATTAGCAGTCATAAAAATTATAGCTTAAAATGATGCAGATTCTACAGTTACTTATATTTGTCTCCTATAAATTTTAAACTAATCTTTTCTGTCCTATGAACCAAACAACCAACCAGATGCAAGTTAAAAACAATGATCTCATATTACTGTATTTTAATTATTCCATCATATCATGAAAGAAATACACTGGTGTTCTCTCTGTGCCAACATTTAATTGACTACTTAGGTCAATAATAAATTTATCTAGCACCTTTCACAAACCACAAGGAATTAAAAACTATGCATATAGAAACACTGAAATTTCTTCTATTCCTGGCTCTTAGCTACCATTATGTGCCTTGATTCCGCACAGGATTCTAAAATGTGGCTCCAATTTCAAAGCCAAGATATATGTGCCATTCTTTTTCTTCATTAATAAGACAGAATACAGATCCGTATAAACCAGCCAGCAAACATTCTGAATGCCAAAACTAAGCATATTGACTTCCAGAATAACATGACTTCTATACTCTATTACTGGAGTTTACAAAACTAAAACCAAATGAGGGTATAGATGTACCTCAGAACCCGGAAAAGGAAACATCCATGAGGAAGGATTCTGTTCAGTTCGCTGTGTAAATTATCTGAAAGTGCTGGCCTGACTGGAACCTTAAAGATCACCTAGATCTGCGGTTTTCAAACTCTGCTCCAAGCATAAGAGAGGGTGGAAGTAGGACAATGGGAAAAGGGAGGTTAAATGGGCAGGGCTCTAGACAGTTTTATTTGGCCTTTACAGGATGATTTCGTTGAAAAAACGAGTGTTGCTTCTAATAAAAAATATTGACTAGTCATTATCTAGTTAAATAATCTCACTTTCCAGATGAAGAATGGCACCCAAAGAGCGACTTTGAAAGTTGACACAGTAAGTTAGTGGCATTGCTGTGACTAAAATTCAGGTTCCTTACAAAGAAAAAGTATGTGGCTAAAAGACTTGCTTTCTAGCTTTTGCTTGTTTTTCCAACTTTGTTCCAAGTCATGTGCTAGGTTCTAGGGCAACAAAAATAAGGTTAGCATCTAATGTGAAAATCAGATGAGCAAATCAATAATTACAATACATTATTGTAAGGACTTCTTGGACTTAAGCACAGGGTGCTACCAGAATGCCGAAGAGGAGCATGTAAATCTGACAGCAGGGAAGAGGGTAGGTGATAGCAGAATAGAATCTTGAAGAATATTTAGATGTCTGACACAAAAAGAGTAGAGTGTTTCCTTTCTCTCACAGAGAATACTATGTGCAAAGGCACTGAGGTGAGAGAAAAAATTATGTTCCAGAAGTGGAAACAGCATGGTGTACTAGCAGGAAAATAAACTATGTGGGAGGGAGCAGCACAGCAGTGAGAGAGGAGAGGTAAACAGAGGCCAGGTCACAGAGGCCTTGGATCTCTCAGCCCAAAGAAGATGAGGAAGGAGCCACAGTCACCACCACTGTGCCATTTAGGCCCTCTGGGCAGACTGGATCAGTCAGATCAATCATCTGATTGGATCATTTGCCTCCTAAGAAATACACCCTATTGGATCTGATTGGATCATTTACCTCCTAAGAAATACACCCTATTTCCAAGCCACTGTCTGCCTAACTATATGCAACACTTCCTCTGCTCTTAAAGGGCATTTCTACCGCTGACCCTTATGATAACTGGTTGGTAAACTGAGGAATAAGAATTAAGAGATGTGTAAATCAGGTATTTGTTTCTATTGACTTTTCCTCTGCCCAATTTATAAAAATATTTCAACAAAGAGAGAAATAGTCAAGGCATTGTCTTGGAGATGGTTTACATCAGCTGAGCATGGTTTCAGATCTTTAGCCAGATAAGCAATGAAGGAAATATTCTGAATCAGAGCTCTGATTTTACGTTGTTCTTGAAGTGCAAAAACAAAATAAAACAAAATAGGTGGTGAGGATAATGGTATTAATATAAAGAATTAGAAACATGAGTGTGTTACCACAAAAAGTATACCACAGCAGTGATATTATTGCTTCCAATGGAAAAACATGTACCTGCATATCTACACTCACACACAATGTGGTGCCAAAGGCAATTCATGAGAATTAAAAAGTTTTATTTCTCTTTTATTTCTGCCTTGCCATAATTCTGGAATTCAATAGATTTCCAGAGATGTGTACTTTGAGTTAGACATACCTGGGTTCGAATTTTAGCTTTGCTTCTTTTTAACAATGTGTTCAGATACAGGTTATGTAACCCTGTGAACATCAGTGTTCACATCTATGTAATGAAAATGATAGTTAATCATTTCTTTTGTGAGAAGTAAATTAAATTCAATTCAGTTAATTTAGAATATACACTAGTCTTATTTTGACTTTTATTTGAATCTAAGCTACATATCAGAAGGTGTGGGGTTAACATTTGGCTGTGTTTCCTCTGAGACTAGTAACTGAAAGCTGATCAAAACCAATCTCTCCACATCAGCTCTTGAACTGGGACCTCAGCCCCTCTCTGTGGTGATTGCGGCACTGATTAAACCTGGCAGATCAGAGGAAGTAGAGGAAGAAATACTACATGAATCAGTATCATACAGGTTAGGCACTGTACAGTCAACCCTTGAACAATGTGGGAGTTAGGAGGCATACATAAGTTTTGACTGTACCAAGACTTAACAACTAATAGCCTACTGTTGACCAGAAGCCTCATCAATAACACAGTTGACACATATTTTGTGTGTTACATGTATTATATACTGAATTCTTAGAATAAAGTAAGCCAGAGAAAAGAAAATGTTATTTAAAAAATCATAAGGAAGAGAAAATATATTTATAATGCATTAAGTAGATGTTGGTCATCAAAGGTCTTCATACTCATTGTCTTCACATTAAGTAGGCTGAGAAAGAGGAGAAAGAGGAGCGACTAGTCTTGCTGCATTAGAGGTGGTGGAGGTGGAAGAATATTTGTGTGTAACTGAACCTGCACAGTTCAGACCTGTGTTGTTCAAAGATCAACTGCAATTTAAGGAAGAACTCCAGGACTTGGGTTAGCACCAGAGGCAAGCGTTGGATATATTACTGAATATGAATCATCTGCCTTAAAAAAATAGACTAATTAGTTGTTCACTGCCGTATAAACCTTAGGTAATTATAGGACCCAGAGTTCTGAGAAATTAAAATAAACATCATTTTAAAACGGAGAAAAGTAATGAGAGCTATTTGTAGGGCTCCTGAAGTGCTTTTCGGCAGAGCGGTCTAGCAGGACTGTCAAGATCATATCTCGAATCTTGTTAATGTGAACATTTATCATTTAAATCTCGTCACTACATTAGCTAATTGAAACCATTTAAGCCAAGCAACAGGACAATTTAGGCTAGAAATAGGGCTTAAGATTTCTCTACTCAGTGAAAATCAAAATAACTCAGCCCATTCCTTGCTCCCTTAAGATCACAGAATCTGTGTTGGAAGGGATCTTAGGGTATCAGCTAGCTCAATCTCCCACCCATACAGGGAGCCCCACTATAATATCTCTGTTTGTGCTTTCCCAGAATTTTCTCAAGTACTTTTGCAGATACAAGACTCACTAATTCATAAAAAAAAGTTTTTGTCAGCTCTAATTGTTAGAAAAATTTTTCCGTATTTATAGGAAATAGCTTTCTTTTTCACTTGCAGTCACTTGTTTTAGTATGGACGCCGGAACACAAAACACTTGCCTTCTACTCAAGCACCTTTCTGTTGTCTGAGGACATCTCTCATGCCTTCCTTGGATATCCTGTTTTTTAAATTCAGTATCTGTTTCCTTTAATGTACTCCATGAGATATAAGTCACAAACTACCCTCCTGGTTGTCCTCAGCTCAATGTAATTCAGTTGGTCGGTGTTTTTCTTAAAAATTATCCTGCATAACGGAACAAATTTTTGATATATAAAGTCACCTTTTTTTGTCTTTAAGTTTTTTGTTCTGTTTAGTTTGGTTTGTCTTTAGTTCTTATATTGACCTTTGGAGTATCTAAATTTGTGGGTAGATAAAAACCTAACTCTTGGATAGGTGAGCAATTATGTAACACATCACAGATAAAGGCCCTTCTAAAACCAATATAGAAGTCTTCCAGATTAACAAACTAGTAACTAGAAAACAGACAAACAAAGAAACCCCAAATTCAATGTCAGAAGAAATTAGAATAGTGTAGTATAACTTATTTTTGAGTCTTGAACCAGCTTTGAATCCCTGCAACATGCCCTACTTGGTCACGGTATATAGTTTTTAAAAATATAGATAGCTGATTTCTATTTTATGGGTAAAGATTTTTGTGTCTATGTTCATGTGGAATATCATTCTGTAGTTTCCTTTATCGTATTGCCTTTGTTTTGTCTTGGTATCGGGAAAATAGTAGCTGCATAAAATGAGTTTGAGAGTGTCCCCGCTTGTTTAATTTTATGAAAGAAAGAGATTGTGTAGAATTGAACTCTTTAAAAGTTTGACAGGATTTTCTAGTAAAACCATGTAAGCCTGAGGATTTTTGGAGTGGGTAGAGGGATTTTTTAAATTATGCATACAATTTTCTTAATAGTGAAATGGCTATTCCAATTACCTAGCTTATGTAAGGTAGTTTGTAATAGTTTGTGACTTTTGAGAAACTGGTTTATTTCATTTAGGTTGTCACATTTACCTATAAATTGTTCACAGTGTTTCCTTATTATCCTTTTGATATGCTCAGAGTCTGTAGTGATAACCCCTGTTTCATTCCTGATGTTAGTAATTTGCATCCTCTATCTTTTTTGTCAGTCTTGCTAGAGGCTTGTCTGTTTTATTGATATTTTCAATGTACCGGCTTTTTCTTTTATTGATTTTCTGTTTCAATTTCATTGATTTCTGCTCTTACCTTTATTATTCCCTTTCTTCTTGCTTTGGGTTAATTTTGTTCTTTTTATAGGTTCTCAGTCTGAAATCATAGAATTTTGATTTTTTTGTCTTTTCTAACATAAAACATTTTCTTCTCAATTGCTTTAATCGTGTCACACAAGTTTTCAAATGTTGTGTTTTTATTTTCATTCAGCTCAATGTATTTTTAAATTTCTTTTGAGACATCCCTTTTAACCTTTGGATTATTTAGAAATGTATTGTTTAAGTGTGAGGTGTTTGGAGATTTTCTGTTATCTATCTGTTGCTGTTTTCCAACTTGATTCCACTGTGGTTTAAGAACAAACTCTGCATCATTTCAATTCTGTTAAATTTCCCTAGGTTTATTTTAGGGCCCAGGATATGGTCTGTTTTTTTATATATTCTATGGGCACTTAAAAAAAAGTGTATTCTGCTATTGTTAGGTAGAATGTTTCGTAAATGTTTACAGATTCACTTGGTTGATGATGCCAAGTTCTATATTTTTTCTCTTTTTCTGTCTAGTTCCAGCAATTGCTGAGAGAGGGGCGAAGTCTCCAACTGTAATTGCGGATTTGTCTGTTTCTCCTTTCAGTTTTATCAGTTTCGCTTCACATATTTTACAGCTCTATTGCTTGTGCATTGGTGCATACAAATTTAAGATTACCATGCCTTCTTGGTGGATTGACCCTTTCTATCATTATGTAATGCCCTACTTTGTCTCTACTAATTTTCTTTGCTTCTGAAGGCTGCTTTATTTGACATTAACATAGCCATTCCTATTTTATTTTGATTAATGTTTGGATGAATATATTTTTTCATGCAAAGCTACTTTAGTTAATTTTGAAGTGAATTTCTGCAGACATATATAATTGGTTTATTTTTTTGTTATTTTATTTTATTTATTTACTTTTTCTCAACTTTTAGGTTCAGGGTACATGTGCAGGTTTGTTACATGGATAAATTGTGTGTTGCTGAGGTTTTGTGTATGAATAATCCCATCACCCGGGTAGTGAGCATTGTACGTGATAGGTAGTTTTCAACCCTCACCCTCCTCACAGTCTCCCTGCTCTAGTAGTCCTCAGTGCTCAGTGTCTATTGTTCCCATCTTTATGTCCATGTGCATGCAATGTTTAGCTCCCACTTATGAAGTGAGAACATGTGGTATTTGTATTTGGTTTTCTGTTCCTGCATTAATTCACTTAGGATAATGGCCTCCAGCTGCATCCATGTGGCTGCAAACAACATGATTTTGTTCTTTTTTAATGACTGCATAGTATTACATGGTATATATGTACAACATTTTATTTATCCAGTCCACTGTTGATGGGCATCTAGATTGAGTTAATGTCTTCGCTATTGTGAATAGTGCTGCAATGAACATCACAGTGCATTCACAATGCCAATTTTTGTCTTTTAATTAGTGTGTGTAGACAGTTCACGCTTAATTTAATTATTGATATAATCAGGCTTAGGTCTGCCATTTTATTTTATTTTATTTTTCTGTTGGTTCTCTTTCTCTTATTTGTTTTGTTTTGTGCTTTTCTTTTTCCTGACTTCCTACAGGTTATTTAAACTTTTTTTATAATTCTATTTTTCTAAATTTTGATAGGGGTTTTGAGTGTATCCTTCTGTATAGGTTCTTAAAGTACGGCTATCGACATTACATTGTATCATATACATACATAATACATCACTGTTTACTGTTTTTTACATTTCATCAGTTCAAGAAAAGTGTAAAAATCCTTACCTCCCTTTACATCTCTACCATTCCCAAGTTATAATTACTTGAAATTCTTCTCCTACATACATTTAGAAACACATTAATGTTATCATTTTTGCTTCCAATGTCAAATATAGTTTAGAAAACTCAACAGGAGAAATAAAACATATCGTATTTACCAATATTTTTACTCTTTCTGTTGTTCTTTCTTTCTTCTTGATTTTCTAATATTTATTATTTTATCATTTTCTTTCTGTTTAAGAAACTTCTCTAGCCATTTTTAAAGTTAGGTCTGATGGAAACAAATTCTCTTAGTTTTCCTTAATCTGCAGATACATTGACTTCTTCTTTCTTGAGGGATATCTTTGCTGGGTACAGAATTGTGAGTTTGCCGTTCTTTTCATTCAGCACTTGAAAAATGCTGTGCCACTTCTATCTGGCATCCATGATTTCTGATGACAAATCCATTTTCATTCAAGTCGTTTTTACAAACATATTTCTTTCTCATTGCTTTCCAGATTTTTTCTTTCTTTTCAGTTCTTAGAAGTTTGAGCACAAAGTGTCCTGCTATATCTTTCTTTGTTTCTTTTTTTCTTTTCCTGTTTACTCAACTCTTGATTATGTAGGTTGAGGTCTTTTGTCAAATTTAGGAACATTTATGTTATTACTTCTTCAAATATTTTTTCAGCTTGGCCTTATTTTTTTGTGACTCTGGATGACACAACCATTAGATTTTTGTTGTTATTGTTAGAGTTACACCAGTTTCCCAGGATGTGGCTTTGTTTTTCTGTTAAGATAGAGTAATTCACACTTTCTGTCTTTAAATTCACTGATTCTTTCCTCTGTCCTCTTGATTCTTCTTTTGAGTTTATCCATTGAGCTTTTACATTTCAGATACTGTGTTTTTCAGTTCTAAAATTTCCATTTGGTTATTATTTACATCACCTATTTTCTTGTTGACACATTTTACCTTTAAAATTTTTTTCAAACATGCTCTTACATGCTCATTTAAGCATTTTTATTATGACTGCTTTAAATCTTTGTTAGATAATTCTAACTTATCTGTCCCTCAATTTTGACACTTATTATCTTTTTCCAGTCAAGTTGACATTTTTCTTTATTTTGGTTTGATGAGTGATTTTTGCATGAAACCTGGACATTTTTGATATTATACTATGGAATTCTGGATCTTATTTAAAAGTTCTATTTTATCTGACTTCTTCTGACACTGCTCTGTCAGGGGCAAAAATGATGCTACTTCACCACTGCCAGATGGAGGAGAAATATGAGTTCCCCACTCAGCCTTCATTAACACCAAGGTGGGGTTAGTGGGTATGGGTGGGAATTTTGGCTCCCCGCTAAGACTTCACTGATTCCATGATGCATATGAGGGAGAGAAGTGTCATATTACTTCCCATGTGGTCACCATTAACACTGAGTGTGTGTGTGTGTGTGCGTGTCTATGTGTGGTTGTGTTTGTTACCTCTGAGAGGTGATAAAAATCCTGACTTTCCACTAGTCATTCTCTGATACACCCCAGTATGTATGAGGAGGGGTGCCTTGTTACTGACAAGTAGAGTTTAAGTCCAGGCCTTCCAGATTATATCCACTAAAACTGCAGGATGGGGAGAGCCCTTTTCTGCCCAGCATGATGAAAGTATCAACTCCCTACTCAGACTTCTCTGACACCAACCCAGTGGTGGGATTGGGGCCTCTCTTTATATCCTGTTAAGAATGAAAATCTAGGTTCCCTACTTGGCCTTTGTTTGTGTGAGTAGAAGTGGTCACACGGTTTTCTCCAGTGTTTGAGTAAGTAGTGCAATTATTGTCTAAGAGGTTTTTATCTCACTGTGCGGCCCCTTTTCTAGACCCTATCTATAGAAAGAAAGCTTTTGATGAAGATATATTTTTTTTGTCTGCATCCATTGGCATTTGTAGCTTTCTAGCTTCTTCAGTTTCCAGTCTGGAATATATGATGCCAAAAAAAAACTCAAGGAACTCACCATTGTCCAATTCCTTGGATCCTGAGGTCCCTAGCCAGTCTGTCTTCTTCTTTTCAGCTTTCAGTTTTCTTATGTTTGCTTCATAGATTATGTCCTGGGATTTAGTTGTACTTCATCTAATTTTATTTTATTTTTCCCCTCTATTCACATGGAATTCAACACAAAATATAAAAAAATATATCTAACATAATGTAAGCATGTATATAGAAAACCCTCAATAATCTGCAAAAAGTTACTAGAACTAATAAATGAATTTAGTATGGTTATAAGATATAAGGTCAATATACACAATTAATTATATTTATATATCCTGGCAACAAACAATTACAAAATAAGAATTTTAAATTCAGTTTACAAGTGGCATAGAAAAATATTAAGTACTTGGAAATAAGCTTCACAAAATATGCTTTATACTATATAAGACATGCACACTGAAGCTATAAAACATAAATTAGAGAAAATAAAAAAAGAACTAAATAATACACAGATATATTCCATATTCCTAGATTGAACAAAATTAATGTTATTAAGATCTCAACTCTCATCAATTTATTACTTAGCTACAATTCAATATTAATCAAACCCCAGACTGTTTTTGGTAGAAATTGACAAAATAATTTCAAAATATATTTGGAAATGTCTACAATCCAGAATAGCCATAACCATTTTTGAAGAGTGGTTGCAAGAATTACACTACGTAATTTCAAGACTTACTACCAGAAAGCTACAATAATCAAGACAGTATAGTATTGGCAAATAAATATATATGTGAATCAATGGAATAGAAAATAGAGTCCAGAAACAGACTTATACAAACACACAAACATACACACACACACACATACATATATGACCAACTGACTTTAATAAAGACATATGTGATCATTTGGTTTTTAAAGCAATTCAATAGGGAAATGACAGTAATTTCAACAAACAGTGCTGAAACAACTAGATATCCATATGGAAAAATAATGTGCCATGATATTTACCTCATACTGTATTTATAAATTAACTCAAAATGAATCATAGACCTAAATGTTAAAGTGATAAACTTCTAAATGAAGACATTTATAAAATCTTTGTGACCTTGGGTTAGGCAAAATTCCGAAAAGTACAATTTATACTCTCTTGAGTACAAGATGGGAAGGGGTATTACACTTGTGTGTGTCTGACAGCTATCACTAATTGTAGGCTGAACCAATTCAAATTGGAATCTTTGATTAATAAACTGACCAATCAATTACCTGGGGTACTTAAAATAAGTATCATCATTTTGGTGAAGGCTTAGGTTTAATTTAAGGACTTATCATCAGTGAAACCAAGGAAATAAAAATATAATTTAACTATTAACTCCAAGAAAAAGTTTTGATTTGTGCAACACAGAAAAAGTAATTTTAATTTTATACATGGTTCAGATATGAACAATAATTGTATGGCCATGTAAAATTGGCTATTTACTTAAAACTGTTCAGAACTATGCATCATAGGAGAATGCAAATAGAATAAATGTAGGATAGGTGGGACAGGTTGTAAAAGAGCTAAAATGTTATCTTCAGTAGTAAAGTCAAAAAATAATGTCTAAAGTGAAGAAAAAGATAGAAAAGCAATATAAGCATGTTATTAGAAGTAAGAAGCTGAATATAAAATAGAGAATAAAACTGCAAAATAAATTAAAATTTAGGTGAGGAGTTAATCTGGGGAATAAATTGAGGGTAACAGTAGCCTGAGAGTGGTATTGAAGACCAAAGGGACATGAAGCATGAGCTTCTGCTTTAAAATATTCGTTCAAAATATTTACTTTTAGATGCAATAAATAGGTCTTCTTTGATAAAAATGAACATCGCATTTAGAAAAATGGAAAGGGAATATGGTAGAGACGGAGGAAGGAAGATAGAAAAGAGACAGAGCACTACAGTAAGTTGCGTTATTGTACAGATAATGACTGTAACCTTGCAGGATAAATGAACTAAAACTAGCTAAATGTTATGCAAATGAATATTTATTACTTGAGATGAAAATTGAACCGACAGCCTCTTAAACTTGTAAAATAATCTCAAATGATTTAGGCAAAAATGAAGATGCTTGTTACCTGATTTCATATGTCACTATTGATAATCGAGATTAGAACATAAGATGCACAGACAGAAAGGAATTGTCATGGCTAAGACTTACTTGGCACTTACTATATGCCATGCAATTGTTCTAAATATGTATTTTTAAGAGCTAAATCATGACTCAATTTTATGATAGTAACTATTATTATCACCATTTTACAGGTGAGGAAAGTTGTTCAAAGTCACAACTATTAAGAGACAGAGTTAGGATTCAATGCCAGGCAGTCTGATATTCCATGAAGATCAAATGCAACAAAGCCATATTTCTGATGTTGCTTATTATTTTGCCTAATACATTGTAATATAGGTGATTATATAAATTGATGAATGAAATAATAAAAGTAAACTTTTGATTATATATTCAAGTTTACATATTCGAGTAAATTAAAAGATATTTTGGTTGATGGAGGGTAGGGAATATTATTATTGGGAAAATCAGAGGTAATTTTTATCCAGCTATGCTATATTTTATGTCATGTCTGTTAATTTAGGAAACTTTTCCTGGCCAACAGCACAAGTTACACATTTTACATTATATGCTTTCATAGCATTCCATATTTTTCCTTTACAACAACTTGCTATAATTCAAATTTAAAATTACATCATAAATGTCTGTATAATTTCTTAAATAATAGGTTTCACACTGATGGGTGCCTTATCTTTTTTCACTGATATGCTCCCTGGTATCCATCACAGTGATGTCACATGACATATACTAAATATTTGCTAAATAAATGAATGAAAAAATACCCATTACATGAATGCAATGACATATTCATCAATTCTCTATGAGATTTAAATTATTTTCCTTTTTTCTTTTTGCTATTATAAACACAATACCTAAAGGAATAGCCTTATACATATATTTTTTACATTTATCTGATTTTTTTCCTTATATGGATATCTAAATGTGAAATTCATGGGTAAAATTATGTGCACTTTACCAGACTGCCCTTTATATTTTCTATAAATTCATGCTTCCTTTCATGGTATATGCATTGGTTAAGGCAATGTAAGGTGCTTAAACTGATAAGCCCAAATCTTAGTGGCCTAAGAAAAAAGAAATTTATTTCTTAATCATATAAACTTCATTTGGTGGTGAATTGCATAGTGGGACCCATGCAGTCAGTGAGAGACCCAAGTGGATAGAGCCTGGCAACTTCCATATATGGCATCAAAGTCTCCCCGAATTTCTAAATCCAGCCAACAGGGAAGGAAAAAGCGGATAGTATATGTACGTGTACAATATGGTCTGGCTGTGTCCCCACCCAAATCTCATATTGAATTATAGTTCCCATAATCCCCACATGTCATGGGAGGGACCCAGTGGGAGGTAATTTAATCATGGGGGTGGTTACTTTCATGCTGTTCTCATGATAGTGAGTTATCACAGGATCTGATGGTTTTATGAGGGGCTTTTTCCCCTTTAGCTCAGCACTTCTCCTTACTGCCACATGTAAAGAAGGACGTGTTTGCTTCCCTTTCCATCATGATTGTAAGTTTCCTGAGGCTTCCCCAGCCATGCTGAACTGTGAGTCAATTAAACCTCTTTCCTTTATAAATTACCCAGTCGGGTATGTCTTTATTAGCAGCATGAAAATGGACTAATACAATGTGGGAGGGATGGAGTGGGTGGAGGGCAGGGGATGTTATATATCACTTCCGCCACGTGTCATTATTCAAAACATCTATGTGCAAATAGAGAAACATGGCCCTGCTGTTGACTTAGAAGAAAAGGATCATCTGCAGTAAAAAGCTAGCTGCTATCTACCAGCGTATAAAGAGCCTATTCTGTACCTTGCCAAAACAGAATTCAATCACGCCTTATAACCTTTGCCAATCTGAGAGGGTAAAAGATTACCTGTCTTACTTCAATTTACAGTTTTAAAAATCTCTAGTAAGATTAAACATCTATCTATCTATCTATCTATCTATCTATCTATCTATCTATCATCTATCTATGTTCTTTTTATATCATATTTAGTAATTACCTGCTAATGTCTTTTTACCACATTTTTATTAGGCAGCCTTTATTCTTAACCTCTTAACATGTGCCTTATGCATAGTTTTGGATTGAAATTTAAATTAGTCTGATTCCAAAGCCCGTTTCTTTTAGTGCCATTATAACTCAATAGAAATGGAATACTTATCTCCAAGGCCTATATCCTTGAGTATTGTTGGCTGAAAGCATAAATTCTAGAAACAATATAAAATTGTAGATCTTGAAAAAAATTGGGTGATCCATACATTTAGCTGCAAACCAAAGACTTCAGAGTGCCAAGAGTCAAGGCAAAATAACTCATATTAATCAATGAGTTCAAAGAGAAATTAAAATTAAGTAAGAAAATGAGTGGAGAGTTCAAAGCCAGGGATGGTAATGGCAGAGGAATGAGTTTGAAGGAGAAATGAGCTGGGTCCTGAACTATAATAACAAGTGGGGCTGACTTGGCTTTTTGTGTTTTTATTGGCAGTATGAGATTTAATTTATAAATTTGATTATGTACATATTTTCAAATTATGTATTATATAAAATAATAGTATGATTTACATATATGGCTTTTTCCATGCTTACATTTTGTGAAACAATTTTATTAGAACTCTTTACATGCATATTTGACCTAAATGTCTTTATAATTACAAGAGCCACTTTTTCTCTTTTCCTAATTTTTCTTTAAATAATTAATACTCCAACACCCCCCCTCCCAGCAGCATTTTTATGTCAGTTCTGGTTTAGAAGTTTTGCATACTATTTCTACAATTTTAGTGGTTCCCTCTATACAGGTATATTTAAAATTCTAAAGCTAATCTGTCCTTCCCTTCTCTATGTATCAGTTAAGTTTATGCTTGGGTGCATATGAGAGAAAACCCAAACTAGCAGCAGTTTAAACACAAGGGTTTATATCTCTGCCCGTTTTCACACAACTATAAAGAAATACCTGAGACTAGGGAATTTATAAAGGATAGAGGTTTAATTGACTCACAGTTCCACATAGCTCAGGGAGGCCTCAGGAAACTTACAATCATGACAGAAGGTGAAGGGGGAGCAAGGACCTTCTCACAGGAGAGAGAAGAGTGAGAGCGAAGGGAAGAGCCCCTTATAAAACCATCAGATCTTCTGGGAACTCACTCACCAACATAAGAACAGCATGGGCGGAACCGCCCCCATGATCCAGTCACCTTCCACCAGGTCTCTCCCTAGACACATGAGGGTTATGGGGATTACAATTCAAGTTGAGATTTGGGTGAGGATACAAAGCCTAACCATATCAATCTGTCTCATGAAATAATTTTGGAAGTGGTCCTTATAGAGCTGATGTGGAAGATTCATGGTTACTGAGTACCCAGACTATTTTTTTTTATTCTGTCCCGTCTTCCTAGGGTATAATTTCCACCTTTAAGATCAGTTTATCACCCAATGTGGCTGCTGGGACTCGAGCTATTATACCAACATTCTATGAATAAGGAGGAGGAGGTGAAGGCAAAAAAGTGATTTTCCATACAACTGAATCATATCCCCTTAAGAAACCTTTATGAATATTTCACACAAAATATTCATTTCTCATTGACAAGGTATTAATTTATAAGTTCACCCAGCCGTAAGAGGCCAGTAGGAAATATGAAACTTTGGTCATGTTGCCAATCTCAACATATTTTATTTAACTAATAAAAATGGAAAAATGGTTTTTGTACATTGATTTTGTATCCTGAGACTTTGCTGAAGTTGCTTATCAACTTAAGGAGATTTTGGGCTGAGACAATGGGGTTTTCTAGATATACAATCATGTCGTCTGCAAACAGGGACAATTTGACTTCCTCTTTTCCTAATTGAATACCCTTTATTTCCTTCTCTTGCCTAATTGCCCTGGCCAGAACTTCCAACACTATGTTGAATAGGAGTGGTGAGAGACGGCATCCCTGTCTTGTGCCAGTTTTCAAAGGGAATGCTTCCAGCTTTTTCCCATTCAGTATGATATTGGCTGTGGCTTTGTCATAGATAGCTCTTATTATTTTGAAATACGTCCCATCAATACCTAATTTATTGAGAGTTTTTAGCATGAAGCATTGTTGAATTTTGTCAAAGGCTTTTTCTGCATCTATTGAGATAATCATGTGGTTTTTGTCTTTGGCTCTGTTTATATGCTGGATTACATTTATTGATTTGCATATATTGAACCAGCCTTGCATCCCAGGGATGAAGCCCACTTGATCATGATGGATAAGCTTTTTGATGTGCTGCTGGATTCGGTTTGCCAGTATTTTATTGAGGATTTTTGCATCAATGTTCATCAAGGATATAGGTCTAAAATTCTCTTTTTTGGTTGTGTCTCTGCCCGGCTTTGGTATCAGAATGATGCTGGCCTCATAAAATGAGTTAGGGAGGATTCCTTCTTTTTCTATTGATTGGAATAGTTTCAGAAGGAATGGTACCAGTTCCTCCTTGTACCTCTGGTAGAATTCAGCTGTGAATCCATCTGGTCCTGGACTCTTTTTCGTTGGTAAACTATTGATTATTGCCACAATTTCAGATCCTGTTATTGGTCTATTCAGAGATTCAACTTCTTATACACCAATAACAGACAAACAGAGAGCCAAATCATGAGTGAACTCCCATTCACAATTGCTTCAAAGAGAATAAAATACCTAGGAATCCAACTTACAAGGGATGTGAAGGACCTCTTCAAGGAGAACTACAAACCACTGCTCAATGAAATAAAAGAGGATACAAACAAATGGAGGAACATTCCATGCTCATGGGTAGGAAGAATCAATATCATGAAAATGGCCATACTGCCCAAGGTAATTTATAGATGTAATGCCATCCCCATTAAGCTACCAATGACTTTCTTCACAGAATTGGAAAAAACTACTTTAAACTTCATATGGAACCAAAAAAGAGCCCGCATCGCCAAGTCAATCATAAGCCAAAAGAACAAAGCTGGAGGCATCATGCTACCTGACTTCAAACTATACTACAAGGCTACAGTAACCAAAACAGCATGGTACTGGTACCAAAACAGAGATATAGATCAATGGAACAGAACAGAGCTCTCAGAAATAACACCGCATATCTACAACTATCTGATCTTTGACAAACCTGAGAAAAACAAGCAATGGGGAAAGGATTCCCTATTTAATAAATGTTGGTGGGAAAACTGGCTAGCCATATGTAGAAAGCTGAAACTGGATCCCTTCCTTACATCTTATACAAAAATCAATTCAAGATGGATTAAAGACTTAAACGTTAGACCTAAAACCATAAAAACCCTAGAAGAAAACCTAGGCATTACCATTCAGGACATAGGCATGGGCAAGGACTTCACACCTAAAACACCAAAAGCAATGGCAACAAAAGACAAAATTGACAAATGGGATCTAATTAAACTAAAGAGCTTCTGCACAGCAAAAGAAACTACCATCAGAGTGAACAGGCAACCTACAAAATGGGAGAAAATTTTCGCAACCTACTCATCTGACAAAGGGCTAATATCCAGAATCTACAATGAACTCAAACAAATTTACAAGAAAAAAACAAACAACCCCATCAAAAGGTGGGTGAAGGACATGAACAGACACTTCTCAAAAGAAGACATTTATGTAGCCAAAAAACACATGAAAAAATGCTCACCATCACTGGCCATCAGAGAAATGCAAATCAAAACCACAATGAGATACCATCTCACACCAGTTAGAATGGCAATCATTGAAAAGTCAGGAAACAACAGTTGTTGGAGAGGATGTGGAGAAATAGGAACACTTTTACACTGTTGGTGGGACTGTAAACTAGTTCAACCATTGTGGAAGTCAGTGTGGCGATTCCTCAGGGATCTAGAACTAGAAATACCATTTGACCCAGCCATCCCATTACTGGGTATATACCCAAATGACTATAAATCATGCTGCTATAAAGACACATGCACACGTATGTTTATTGCGGCATTATTCACAATAGCAAAGACTTGGAACCAACCCAAATGTCCAACAATGATAGACTGGATTAAGAAAATGTGGCACATATACACCCTGGAATACTATGCAGCCATAAAAAATGATGAGTTCATGTCCTTTGTAGGGACATGGATGAAATTGGAAATCATCATTCTCAGTAAACTATCGCAAGAACAAAAAACCAAACACCGCATATTCTCACTCATAGGTGGGAATTGAACAATGAAATCACATGGACACAGGAAGGGGAATATCACACTCTGGCGACTGTGATGGGGTCGGGGGAGGGGGGAGGGATAGCATTGGGAGATACACCTAATGCTAGATGACGAGTTAGTGGGTGCAGCGCACCAGCATGGCTCACGTATACATATGTAACTAACCTGCACAATGTGCACATGTACCCTAAAACTTAAAATATAATTTAAAAAATAATAATAAATAAATAAATAAATAAATAAATGGAAAAATGGATATGAAGTAAGCAACTAGGAGTCTTTGTAGCTATATCTTCCCAAATAAGACAAGGAACTTAAGGTCATCTTCTATTTAAATTCTTCTCTTCTGTTTCATGTATTATGACTTGTATTTTATTTATTTATTTATTTATTGAGACAGAGTTTCACTCTTTTTGTCTAGGCTATAGTGCAGTGGTGTGATCTTGGCTCACTGTAACGTCCAGTTCCTGGGTTCAAGCGATTCTCCTGCCTCACCCTCCTGAGTAGCTGGGACTACAGGAACCCGCCACCATGCCCAGATATTTTTTGTATTTTTTGGTAGACACAGGTTTTCACCATGCTTGCCAGGATGGTCTTGAACTCCTGACCTCAGGTGACCCGCCCACCTCGGCCTCCCAAAGTGCTGGGATTACAGGTGTGAGCCACTGCGCCCGGCCGCATTTTACTTTTTTCTAGTCTTTTCCCATTCTCTTTATTCTCCTTTTCTGGAATTCTTAATTAACTCATTTATGTTGCAGCTTCCTTTTCTTCCCTCCATGTTTCTTAATATGTCCTTCGTATTTTGTGTATTTTCTTCTATTTCTGATACTTTCTCAGATCTATTTTCAGATTTACTAATTCAACTGTCTATAGTTCAATTAATTTTTAATTTTAATTATTTTAATTTTTATTTCTAGAATTTTAATTTTGCTTTTCTAACCTACTTGTGCTTTTGTTTCATTGACTTATTCTTGTCTGTAGGACTTGCCTCATTCTTTTTTCGGAAAACATTTTTAATTGTCCAATAGTTTTAAGCTTATGGAAAAATTGTAAAGATAGTACAAAGAGGTCCTCTATATCCCTAAGCCAGTTTCCTCTATTGATCACATCTTTCCTTCTTAATATATTTGAACATAATTGAAATATTTACTTTGAGGCCCCTTTCTATGTATTTTATTATTTCCAGATACCTGGGTTAAAGTTCTTTCCACATATTCGATTTGCTAATTCTCATTTATGGCAGTATGTTTCCTCATATTCTTTACCATTTTTATAAACCATAAACTATTTTTCACTGATAATTTTCTTGATCAGTTTTCACAAATGTGCTTCGGGTTATGGAAATATAATTATGGATGGATTTTTACTTGATTCTACCTGGTATAATGGATTTTCTAGGCTTTATATGTTTCTTCAGTGATTTCTCAGATGGGATTTTATCTAGTATGAATAGTATAAATTCGGACTTTTCATCCATACACTGCATAGGTTTGGGGTTCTGAAATTTAATAGGTGATTCATTTTTCATTCACAGGTTAAGTTTCCAGACATCTGAACAGGTAAATGGAATTTTTCTAGATATAAACACTCACATGGGACAATTCATTACTAGCACACAGAAGAAAGCCAGACTCAACTTCACATTGTGCATGAGAGCCTATAAGTTTATAAAGATGTTGAAATCCCAGCTCCTAGTTTTAGATACCCAATATTATTCATATATTTTGAATTTATTGTTTATAGTCTATCTATACTTTCTACTTTTCATATGGAGTTGGAAGGTAGTTGAAAAGGGTTAGCCCACCTTTGTCTGCTCCATGATATTAACTGGATTTTGAATCTGTTTATTAGCTTAGAGATGACTCTTATTAACATCAGAGTATAATTTGGGCAACATGCTAAAAGAGAAAATCAGAGTTCTTCTGAATTCCAGAATATTGAAAACATAAATGAAGATAAATGAAGTGTGATTCAACATTGCAAATTCAGAGCATGGAAATAGAGTGGTTGGTTAGCATGTGACTAAAAAGATTCTGAGATTTAGCAGCTAATTTAGCCATTAGGAATAGATGTCTATTGCTAGACTATTAGTTCATAGAAATAATGATGGACTTTGCATTTTTCCCTGCTTTATCCTCAGCACCTAGTATGTTGTTCAATACGTGCTCAGTAAGCATCTTTTGACATTTCTAAGCAATTGTCTTAATTCACGCCCCATTCATCATCTCATTTAGAATTCGACTATCCCATCCACCAGTTTTGGCCCTCATTTCCTCATCTCTATACTTTATTCTATAGATCAGCTCCAAGCTGTTATCTTCCTGGCTATAGCATTAGCTCTTCTCTACAAATAATTTCTGACTTTCTACCGGCAATGCTGCTAGATTTAGCCATATCTGATAATTCCAGGTCTTCAATATGGCCTCAGGGATCCTTCTTCCTGGTGTTGCCTTTTTAGACAATCCTTTAATCATCTACATTATATTGACTCAAAACTACAGAAATCAAGAGTAAATATTCCTTTCATATTCAAATCAAATGAGAGCCAAAGCATAAAACAATATTCTAGTTTCACTAATGTGGGAAGGTGAAAGCATTTTGGAGGCCTTGCCCAAGTGTACAAGTAAAAATAATATTAGATATGTTAACAATTAGAGCTCAGTTGCAAATAACAGAGACCACTCTATTTGAAACAGAAAGTTATTCAATACTTTAAAGTAGGAGCTTAAGACGTTGTTGAAAAGGCAGGACTACAGGAATGATTCTCCAAAATCACTCTAAAATTTGCCTTCCATAAGAACTGTTACCTCTTCTATTATCAGGAATCTGGAATATCAGGAATCCACTAGGCCAACTGCTGGTACCAGGATCTCACTACATTATCCTTCATGCAGGCACCTGAGGGTTTCCATAGCAACGTCGACACTAAAAACACATCACTTAAGCTGTAATTTCGTGTTAAGGGAGATGCTGCCAGAACTGCTGGCTCCTAAGTCACACTGTACCTGCCGGTTCCATACCTTGGAGTCAGGCAGACCTAGGTTTGACTGCTGGTTCTCTTATACATTAGCTATGCAAACATGAAAATATTGTTTTACATCTCTAAGCCTCCATTTCTCAATTTGTAAAAATGTAAATAATAATAATTCATAGACTTTTTGTGAAAATGAATGAGCTCCTGAGTACAGTATGTGACATATAATAGACACACCAAAAATACTAGTGACTTTTCTAAATTTGACTATGCCTTTAAATTGTTCTGTGACCCTGAGTGAATTAGTCTACATGTGCTCATATTAACTTCTTCATCCACAAAATGCATTTGATATTTTCTTGCTGTTTCCTCTGAATTATTGTGAGAATCTGGCAAGATGGTTATAGAAAAAGTACAAAGAACTATGGAGTATTAGGTAATATTATTTTTTATAGGCTGTTGCAATGGAGTTGACCAACCAGGTCAGTCAGGATATAGTCATATCCTTTATAAAATCATTTCCTATTTTTTCTCTCACTGATAATATATAAATTCAGTCAAAATTGTTCATGAATTTATTATATATATGGGTTTGCACCTAGAAAAACAGATGACAAAGTAGTAAGAAAATGATATCTATGAAGAAAGCTTAAATAAATGAGAATTATTTATCCTGTAAAGATGATTTGCAATGAGTTTTTAAGTGTAGAAACAGGGTTTTGCTTTCAGAATACCCAATATATGAAAACTGATGTTTACAAACCCAAATGAGGGGATAATCAATCACTCCACAAGAAGATTCCTCACCTCTCAAACAGATTCTCTTTTATGCAGAGAAGATTCCAAATAGAAATCAATTAAATTTATAAAATTTAATTTGTCCAAAACGTTTCAGAAAAAGGAGATCCATCTGTCTAAATGTCTCTTACACTATGGATGATCACCATCTGCTTTCTAATCCCCACTGGGCAGCAAAGAAGAGATTGAATTCTAAAATGTGAGACTTAAATTGATCAAAGGAAGAATTTCATATCTATGTAGGCTTTTTAATCATAAGCATCCATTAATAAAGGCAAGTTATGTACCTTACCATATGTCTTCCAAACAAGATGACCTCAGTTTTCTCCAGGATAGTGGATTAAGAGTGTGCCTATCTGAAGACTGAGGTGGATGAGATGACCTTTAAGGCCTTGCAAGCCCTAAGAGGCCATGACTTTTTGGAGTGCAGATAATATTCGGAGCTGTTTGTGAAAAGCATTAGGAGAGATCTTGCCATATGGAATAGATTCACAATTTGAGGTTGCATGTAGAAGAGAGAGTAAATATAGAGGCAGCTGAAGGGCTGGAAGACATCTCTTCAGCAATATGCTTTCTGAAATCCAGGACACCTGTTTTGCCAAGTTGGGTCAGAAACCTGGAAAGAATATACTTTCTTGTGAAGATTTTCCTGGAGATTTTCATGACTTCTTGTCTTCACGTTTAGCACAGCCTAACAAGCATACAAAGGTAGAGAGCCACAGAGCAGAAATGAAAAGCCTAAGGAACATTTTAGAAGGGTCTCAAGTTAATAGTTCAACTAAAATTCGACTTGGTTCATTTGTTTGTTTGGTCATTTGGTTTAGCTTGATGAGATGATATGTTTAAGATAATTGATCTTTCCCTCCTGAAAACATGCTCTTAGCATTATATTTATACCTCTAGTAGTATGCTGGTAAATATTTAGCGACTGGCTCTCTGAAAGAAAACAAACTTTTTAAAGCTCTGATTTGTAGCATTTGCCAATTTCTATGGTGTAAATTCTTCGACCATGGGCAATTTCAGACTAGCAAAGGATAGCAGTTAGGGCAAAAGTGTGAAGAGTTAGACATTATTAGTCTTCATGATCCAACTCCAGCACACATATTCATCTTCCTTAAGACATTTGCCACTCTCGTTATTGGATTGTAGACTCATACATCCCTTACCTTGTCTGTTTCATTGTAAACATAAGTCCCTGGTTCTTAGGTGCTTTGTTTGATTCCTCCAGCACTCCTACCATGATGCCTGGCACTTGTCTAGTGCTTAACTAATGTCTATGGAGAGAATGACTGACTGACTGAATGAGCTTTTAAATTCTTAATTAGACTGAAGTCCAATGACAAATAGTAAAATCTTATTTTATTATCATTTTTTGAATTTTGGTTGTGTTGAAATATGGCTAAGGGGTCTTAGCCAATTCTTGTCTACTTTCTTGTTATCCATATCCCAATATTTTTTAGGAATTGCACAGCAGTATAACCCAGAAATGTGGCTCCTTCCCAGGTCAATAGCCAATAACAATATTTTAGAGTTTTTTTTTCCTTTTGTTTGTGTTTTTTTTTTTTTTTTACAGAGGGCATGCGATCCAATTTTGTCTACAATATGCAAGGAAGAATCTGTTGGAAGGCTTCTGTACAGGTTCTCTTCCAAAATATAAAGAGATGCACTACCAGAAAGCCTCTCATCTTTTCATAGCACCATGTTGGCATGTGATGCTTAGATCTGAGCAGACTCCTGGTATTCTTTAGTAAAATCTAAGAGAGTCACAGAGCAACTGACCCAGAACCTTGACACTGTTGATCTGCTGAATTACCCAACCCCAGCTGCCTTCACTCTGATTTCTTGTTATATAAGATAATAAATTCATATCGTTTAAGCCATTTTTTATTGGGTATTCCATTACACACGATCTGAAAGCCTCGTAACTAGTCCACTATATTATGAATTCTGCAGACTCCTCTAATGTTCTCATCATAAACAAGTTCTTCACTGGCTGATTTTTACCCAGTATTGCTTCTCTCCACTTTATCATACTCCAGACCACTTATAGTCCTTTAAATATGGATGCAGCTTTGTGTCTTTGCTCAAGCGTTTTCTTGTTTTTGAACATACACCCTATCTTATATCAAACCTCTACTCCCTCAATTACACTTTGATTCCTCAGAAAATTCTGGTCACTCTTTAAGACACATATTCTCAATCTACTTTATCATAAAGACTTCCTTAATGGTAATGCCTAGGTTTTCTTCTAGGGTTTTTATGGTTTTAGGTCTAACGTTTAAGTCTTTAATCCATCTTGAATTAATTTTTGTATAAGGTGTAAGGAAAGGATCCAGTTTCAGCTTTCTACATATGGCTAGCCAGTTTTCCCACCAACATTTATTAAATAGGGAATCCTTTCCCCATTGCTTGTTTTTCTCAGGTTTGTCAAAGATCAGATAGTTGTAGATATGCGGTGTTATTTCTGAGAGCTCTGTTCTGTTCCATTGATCTATATCTCTGTTTTGGTACCAGTACCATGCTGTTTTGGTTACTGTAGCCTTGTAGTATAGTTTGAAGTCAGGTAGCGTGATGCCTCCAGCTTTGTCCTTTTGGCTTAGGATCGACTTGGCGATGCGGGCTCTTTTTTGGTTCCATATGAAGTTTAAAGTAGTTTTTTCCAATTCTGTGAAGAAAGTCATTGGTAGCTTAATGGGGATGGCATTACATCTATAAATTACCTTGGGCAGTATGGCCATTTTCACGATATTGATTCTTCCTACCCATGAGCATGGAATGTTCCTCCATTTGTTTGTATCCTCTTTTATTTCATTGAGCAGTGGTTTGTAGTTCTCCTTGAAGAGGTCCTTCACATTCCTTGTAAGTTGGATTCCTAGGTATTTTATTCTCTTTGAAGCAATTGTGAATGGGAGTTCACTCATGATTTGGCTCTCTGTTTGTCTATTATTGGTGTATAAGGATGCTTGTGATTTTTGCACATTGATTTTGTATCCGGAGACTTTGCTGAAGTTGCTTATCAGCTTAAGGAGATTTTGGGCTGAGACGATGGGGTTTTCTAGATATATAATCATATCATCTGCAAACAGGGACAATTTGACTTCCTCTTTTCCTAATTGAATACCCTTTATTTCCTTCTCCTGCCTAATTGCCCTGGCCAGAACTTCCAACACTATGTTGGAAAGGAGTGGTGAGTTGGAAAGGAGTGGTGAGAGAGGGCATCCCTGTCTTGTGCCAGTTTTCAAAGGGAATGCTTCCAGTTTTTGCCCATTCAGTATGATATTGGCTGTGGGTTTGTCATAGATAGCTCTTATTATTTTGAGATATGTCCCACCTATACCTAATTTATTGAGAGTTTTTAGCATGAAGCGTTGTTGAATTTTGTCAAAGGCCTTTTCTGCATCTATTGAGATAATCATGTGGTTTTTGTCTTTGGTTCTGTTTATATGCTGCATTACATTTATTGATTTGTGTATATTGAACCAGCCTTGCATCCCAGGGATGAAGCCCACTTGATCATGGTGGATAAGCTTTTTGATGTGCTGCTGGATTCGTTTTGCCAGTATTTTATTGAGGATTTTTGCATCACTGTTCATCAGGGATATTGGTCTAAAATTCTCTTTTTTGGTTGTGTCTCTGCCCGGCTTTGGTATCAGGATGATGCTGGCCTCATAAAATGAGTTAGGGAGGATTCCCTCTTTTTCTATTGATTGGAATAGTTTCAGAAGGAATGGTACCAGTTCTTCCTTGTACCTCTGGTAGAATTCAGCTGTGAATCCATCTAGTCCTGGACTCTTTTTCGTTGGTAAGCTATTGATTATTGCCACAATTTCGGAGCCTGTTATTGGTCTATTCAGAGAGTCAACTTCTTCCTGGTTTAGTCTTGGGAGGGTGTATGTGTCGAGGAATTTATCCATTTCTCCTAGATTTTCTAGTTTATTTGTGTAGAGGTGTTTGCAGTATTCTCTGATGGTAGTTTGTATTTCTGTGGGATCAGTGGTGACATCCCCTTTATTATTTTTTATTGCGTCTATTTGATTCTTCTCTCTTTTCTTCTTTATTAGTCTTACTAGCGGTCTATCAATTTTGTTGATCCTTTCAAAAAACCAGCTCCTGGATTCATTAATTTTTTGAAGGGTTTTTTGTGTCTCTATTTCCTTCAGTTCTGCTCTGATTTTAGTTATTTCTTGCCTTCTGCTAGCTTTTGAATGTGTTTGCTCTTGCTTTTCTAGTTCTTTTAATTGTGATGTTAGGGTGTCAATTTTGGATCTTTCCTGCTTTCTCTTGTGGGCATTTAGTGCTATAAATTTCCCTCTACACACTGCTTTGTTTGTGTCCCAGAGATTCTGCATGGGCAAGGACTTCATGTCTAAAACACCAAAAGCAATGGCAACAAAAGCCAAAATTGACAAATGGGATCTAATTAAACTAAAGAGCTTCTGCACAGCAAAAGAAACTACCATCAGAGTGAACAGGCAACCTACAAAATGGGAGAAAATTTTCGCAACCTACTCATCTGACAAAGGGCTAATATCCAGAATCTACAATGAACTCAAACAAATTTACAAGAAAAAAACAAACAACCCCATCAAAAGGTGGGTGAAGGACATGAACAGACACTTCTCAAAAGAAGACATTTATGTAGCCAAAAAACACATGAAAAAATGCTCACCATCACTGGCCATCAGAGAAATGCAAATCAAAACCACAATGAGATACCATCTCACACCAGTTAGAATGGCAATCATTGAAAAGTCAGGAAACAACAGGTGCTGGAGAGGATGTGGAGAAACAGGAACACTTTTACACTGTTGGTGGGACTGTAAACTAGTTCAACCCTTGTGGAAGTCAGTGTGGCGATTCCTCAGGGATCTAGAACTAGAAATACCATTTGACCCAGCCATCCCATTACTGGGTATATACCCAAATGACTATAAATCATGCTGCTATAAAGACACATGCACACGTATGTTTATTGCGGCACTATTCATAATAGCAAAGACTTGGAACCAACCCAAATGTCTAACAATGATAGACTGGATTAAGAAAATGTGGCACATATACACCATGGAATACTCTGCAGCCATAACAAATGATGAGTTCATGTCCTTTGTAGGGACATGGATGAAACTGGAAATCATCATTCTCAGTAAATTATCGCAAGAACAAAAAACCAAACACCGCATATTCTCACTCATAGATGGGAATTGAACAATGAGAACACATGGACACAGGAAGGGGATCATCACACTCTGGGGACTGTCGTGGGGTGGGGGGAGGGGGGAGGGATAGCTTTAGGAGATATACCTAATGCTAAATGACGAGTTAATGGGTACAGCACACCAGCATGGCACATGTATACATATGTAACTAACCTGCACATTGTGCACATGTACCCTAAAACTTAAAGTATAATAATAATAAAAAAAGACTTCCTTTATCTGCAGTAATTAATTACATAATAATCTGTGTTCCATACTATACCCTGTATGTACTGCTGTCATATTTAAGTTATTCTTTTTTTGTTTACTACTTTACTATTCTCTCTCTCTTTTTCTCTCTCTCTCTGTGTGTGTGTGTGTGTGTGTGTGTGTGGATACGTGTACAAGCTTATTTTCTTGAGTTTATTAGTTTGGTGCCTGGCACATAGAAAATACCCTATCGATGTATTTAATAATATTAGGAATTTTAATATGTGACGTCCCAATTCTTGACTTTAGGAACGTTTTTAAGGGCTTCATGTCATATTTCATTTTGTGACACTTAAAAGGCCATCTTTGCAATACATATAAAGAGCTTCTCCCAAATCTTGCCACCATCCACATGAAGCTGAGTAGTTATTAAATTTCACATTTTTGTTATTTTCTACCTTCTGTAGAAGCATCAGAAAGACTCAGCAATGAGCCACTGCCATTCCTCCCAGCCTGATCCAGCAGGGTTTTGATTCCTGAAGAGCTAGCTCTTTACCAGCCTTCAGCATTAAGACACTTTATTATTATTATTATTATTATTATTATTATTATTATTATTTTAACTAAAGCCTGGGATCTTGAGTTTAAAAACATGTTTGGTGCAAAGTTTTGGAGTTCCAAAGGCCAAAGCTGTTGTATGAGGACAAGTTTAGTTTTGGGTTCTCCAGGTAACAATGAATCAGGATTCTGCCTTACTCTCTCATGACACCCTGGGAAGGTGGTAGATCTCCAAAGGGAAATAGGCACTAGACACCTTGGCACCTACTGCCAGCCAAGAATCCCTAGGACCAACTTTGAAATGGGAACAACAGAGATCCAAGACTGGAAGCGACCATGCTGACTCAGGAAATTAGTGTTTGAAGGTGAATAGCATGGACTAAAAGCCAGGATGCTTGTCCTGAATATTCCAGATTGTGTCAGGCTCTCAAGGCCTGGGTACCACCTTGGGTAAGAAGAGAGCTCCAATAATGACTGTAATTGAGGCAGGATAAAGGACTAAAGTAGATTAAATGATTGTACAGAAATTTAAAATGTGGCATTTTTTTTTATACCCCAAGTTGCTTAGTATGCCAGTTGTGCAGGAGAAAAATCGAGTTGATTGCAATATATACAAGCTCATATTGTCTTTCTGCTGCAAGTTTGCTTCAACTTATTGGTTTAATTGTAGTCCTGAAGGTATATATCTATGAGGTCATGATTCTCACCTTGAAGAGGTGAAGGATGAGTTCCCCTTTCCTGGAAAGTTTGTCATTCCTATTTGTATTTTCTGATCCACCAGAAAATGTAAGCACAAAAACACAAAATTGTGTAAAAGCATCAGTAAAATGTGAGTGGTGGGATAGAGGAAATTTGCATTTACTGTACAGCAACTATATACCTGACACTTGAAATGCATTATCTTACTTAAATCTCAAAAAATTCTGCAATGCAGCTATTCATCATCACACCCACAGATGAAAAGCCTGGGGCTAAGATTAAAGAGCTTGTCAAAGGTCATTCACCTAGGAGGTGGTAGCAACAAATTTCTATCAGAGGCTGATGGATATATTCTTCTTCCAATACAAAAAGAAAAATGGAAACAAAAACAAAAAGAAGAAAAAAACTCTCTTGTGTGTAGAGAGTCTGAAATTCAGAGAAACGGCTTAGCAGTATGTCCTTTGGAATGAAATGAGGGAAGTTTGCAGTTTGTTGAACTTGACTCAGTATACTAAATCTTACATCATTCCTGGGATGCCATTTCTGATGGATTCACCATACACAGGTCATATAATCCTCCAAATCTATTGTGTGTTGATTCTTCAAAAAAGCTGTTACTAATTTCTTTTCCGGCAAATTGTGATGCATGCACTTCTCATATGTAGTGTTAACAGAGAAGATAAAAATCAGTTTGTGGGCCAGGTGCGGTGGCTCATGCCTGTAATCCTAGCACTTTGGGAGGCCAAGGCGGGTGGATCATGAGGTCAGGAGCTTGAGACAAGCCTGGCCAACATGGTGAAACCCCGTCTCTACTAAAAATACACACACAAAAAAAATTATCCGAGCATGGTGGCGGGCACCTGTAATCCCAACTACTCGGGAGGCTGAGGCAGGAGAATCACTTGAAACCGGAAGACAGAGGTTGTAGTGGGCCAAGACTGTGCCACTGCACTCCAGCCTGGGCAAGAAGAGCAAAACTCCATCTAAAAAAAAAAAAAAAATCAGTTTGCCTCAAACATTTAATCCTAACTAACTCAGCCTAGGTGTAAACCAATTCAAATGAATTAAAACTAATTCAACAATCTATCTAAAAGATGCCCTTAAAGACACAATACAATAACCTACTTAAAAACAATTTGAAAAAATTAAGGAAACCTACATGTAGGATAGTGATAACCTTCCTTACCAAGCCATTTCAATAATTTTTAAAAAGCAGACAGCTCTCAACTCAATAGGTCCATATATAAAATGGTGAACCCTTCCCAAGTGTCTAGCAAATGTACAAGTAGAAGAATTTTATGCAATTATGTTCAGGAAATATTAAACCTTAATTAATGTATTGGTGATTTCAATAATAAAATGCCCTCTGTCGTCTAAGAACAAATGGAAAGCATTAAACCAATGGCTAGATTTATGGCTAAATAAATTAAGCACATTGTCAAATTTGTCAGAGAAATCTTTCCACCTATATGTGCCCTTGGTTCTAGAGACCTCCCTCCCCGAACGCCAGTCATTCTGTCAATGATGCTCTGCACTCGTGCATTGTGACGATTGCAATACATTTAAATTATACATGGGGCATTTTCCGGTGAGTTGTGCATCTGTAAAGTGACCAGAGGTACAGAATCCCCTAGTTTGCCTAATCTACTCACTTGTGTACATCTGTGCATGTGCTTCAGGGGTATTAGATTGGAGATTGGGTGGGAATATGGATGCCGGGGATGCTGAGTTTAATGGAGGAGAGAAGCAGCTGCATTGAAACATAGGAATAACAAAGAGCCAAAAAAAAAAAAGATTTTTTTTCTTATGAATATATTTAACGTGTTAAACAGATTCTGGCAATTTCCTGATGGCTCCAAAAGAAGCCTGAACTGAGATTTTCACAGACAGTGTTCCAGGCCCTGAATACTGTACCTCGTGTATTGAATCACATCTGCTACAGAGAGGAAGCAATGAATAATTAACTCGGCCTCCACATTACTGCCATAGATTACAGTCATCTTGACTGCTGGACTACCCTGCACAACATAAACCATTTAGAAAACTCGGTTACTCTCTTTCCTTTTAAATTTGTCTTGCTAACACTTACTGCTTAAAAGGGTAAATCTTTCTCTAGTTTTAATTAAAGCATTTAAAATAATTTACATTGAAATCATATGTGCTTGGGTCTGTCAGAATTGATGCTTTAATAACATGCCATCCCTTTCTCCATTGCCCTGAAATCTGTTAAAATTACCACTAATCTAATTGGGAACAAAGTTGTCAAATGCATGCAGCTCTGACAGTTTGTCTTTCTGCAAACTGCCGACAGATTGCAAGTTACGCATGTGTTGAGCAGATGGGTAAGTTAAAAGGAACACCAAAAAAAAAAAAAAAGCAATTTATTAAATCACCTGGAACCAGCAGCTTCGGTCCAAAAATAGTGAGAATGAAATATAGCAGGAGCTGGGAGTGCTGGCACTAGAATATACCAGAAGGTACCGGTTACAAAACAAGATAAACATTTGGAGATGCCTCAGCTGTGTTACAGAATAATGAGGAGTTATTTAACCCGATATAGATTACCAGCCAAAATTAATTTAGGGTGCAGCTTTTTTGGAAAATGGTTTGCAAAGTGATTGCCTTAACCCTTTCCTGTCTTCTCGTTATCACAGGAAGACAGGCATATTTTTCTCCTTCTTTCGTTCTCAAAGGCATCAATACATATTCACATACATATATGAACCTACACCTTTGCACACATAACACACTGGCATACATATGCACACATATTCATACTCGTATACACATGAATGCATGCACATCTGTGACACTAATATGTATGTGCACACATGTATGTAAATACATATTATCTCGTATATAGGTAAACAACCATGAGATATATATGTACATAAATATTCGTATCTATTTATCCATCTACCTATTTACCTATCTATGATTATATTCATGAGAGATTGTTTTGTTTTCCATCATCTGAAGCAAGGTTCTGAGTAAGCCATGCATGCATGGGTTACCCAGCCTATAGCTGCTGTTATCATAATTGCTCTCTCGTGTTCCATTAGTAAACTGTCCAGGCAGGAGGTAGGGAAAAGCCAAGGTAAGCATGGGGTAGGAGGAGAGTGAGAAGAACAGGAGCTGAAGCCTGAGAGCCTCTCTCATGGGTCTCCACTGCTACGCCATGTGATCAGAACTTTTTGTTTTATTTTCCTTTTATTTTTGAGACAAAATCTCTCTCTCTGTCAACCACAATGGAGTGCGGTGGCACGATCATAGCTCACAGCAGCCTCTAACCCCTGGGCTCAAGCTGATCGGAACTTTTGAGAGGTGTTCTTTAAAAACTTACTTGCAAGGAGCCAATAAACCTTAAGACCCAAGAAATAAGAACAAAGAAGACATGTTTTAACTAATATTTCTCTCACTTAGGTGACTTGGGTCTGTAAGAAATCATCAATTTAAGTTTTAAAGTGCAATAAGTCTGAAATCAAGATATTTTCTGTCTCTACTAGGAGCCAGAGGCCCAGCAATTTAACTCTCTTTCTCTTCCTAGAACAGGCCAACACAATTACTTCAAGGAGAATCTCTTGCTGGAAATTTAGGTGATCAGTGATGAAGAGCCAAGAACTGAGTGTGTTCCCAGGTCCCCAAGAGGAATGCAGTGGAATTCAGATATTAAATATTGGTGTTTTTGGCTCGCTCCCCTTATCGCTTTACTTGCATCTCCTGGGGATGTCATCCACTTTCATAGTTTTGGCTGCCTTATAGTCTAATGGCTTGCAAATCTGTATCTCTTGCCTTGGTTTTTCTCACTTGGAGTCAGATTCTGATATCCAAATACCGGTGACAAATCACCATGTAAACATTCCTCAGGCCTCTCAAGTTCCATGAGTTCAAAACAGAATTCCTCAATTCTTTCACAAACTTGCTTCTATTCCTGTGTTCACCATGTTATTTGTTCATATTGCTTGGCACTTTATCATTCACACTAGAAAAATAATCTATGAAATCAGAGAATAATCCTTAAATCACCTCTGTTATCCACTAGCCATAGCCACTCACCAAATTCCACCAGTTTTGACATCCAAATGTTCCCATAAATCTGTTCTTTCCCACTCTTTCTCTAATAGAACATCTCTGGCTTAGGCTTTCTTCATCTCTTGTGTGGCTATCAGGTTAGGTCTTCCTTTCCAGAATTTCATATCTCCTATGATCAATTTCCACATAGCTGCAAGGGTGGCTCATATAAATTCAAACCAGACCATGTTCCTTTCCTGCTGGCTCTGCTGGACTTTCTATGTTGCCCCAGCCTATCTGCTTTCTACCTTTCTCTTCTGTCACCCGAGGCTGAGAGAGAGGCAAACTCTATTTCTCCCATCCTGTCCTTGTCAGGCCACAAATGGACACTGACTGCATTTTTCTCCTGAAGGCCACAGCTCCTGTTGTGTTACTTTCTTCATCTATAGCTTTGGCTGGAGCTGTCTCCAGATTCTAGTAAGTTCTTTATCCCTTTGTCCTTTAAAGCCAAGGGAGGTATTATCTCTTCTCTGTTGCTAGCCCTAGGATGCTTTCCTAGGTCTTGTTAGTTTCCCTTTAGCCCTGCCCATTCCTTTGTAAACAGTCCCTTCATTACAATTTCCTCAATTACATTTTTGTAGGTGCCATCTGTTTCCTCCCAAGGTCCCAACTGATGCATCCCGCCATTGCCAAAAGGATGAAAATTTCAAATTCATTACATGGCAAAAAAGCCTCTTTAAAATCTAGCCCTTGCCAAATTCTCCAGTCTCTCGGCCCCTGCCCTCACAGGCTCACGTGTTTAGGCTCCCCACATACACCATTACTGTTTCACACCTCTCTGGTTTTCCCCTGCCCTTTGCTTGAAATGTCCTCTCAGCCCCCCAGGTCCTTGCCCCACTCTCAGCTTCGTACTCTTTCTGGCTCTTACATCTTTTCCCTTAATTAAAGATGCAACTTAGGCATCACTTTCTCCAGAAAGTCTTCCCTGAACCTCTAGTATTCCCACCTTCATCCACAGTCAAAGTTTTAATAGACTCACAATGAATATTACATATTCAAGGCTCTGGGAATTTGCTTGGTAAGGTATCTGACCTCTTAAATTAATTTCCAGATTCTTTCTTTCGTTCTTTCTTTTGTTCTTTCTTTCTTTCTTCTTTCTTCTTTTTTTTTCTTTCTTTCTTTCTTCTTTTCTTTCTTCATTTCTTTCCTTTCTCCTTCCTTCCTTCTTTCCTTTCTTCCTCTTTTTCTTTCCTCCCATTCTTCTTTCCTTTCTTCCTTTCTGCCTCCCTACCTTCCTTTCTTTCTTTCTTTGTTAAATTTACTGATTATCTCATTTAATCCTGATGGCAATCTTATAAGTTAAATCCTATTATTATGCTGTTTTTAATTAAAGAAAGATAAACTTAAGAAATTCAAATGTCCTATTGAATGGCAAACAGCTAGCAAGTTAAGGCGCTAAGACTTCAATGCAAAGTTTTACTGTAGAGTCTGTACCCTTAATGATAATATTAAAGGCAAGATTTGGTTATGTCTGGGTGTTACTTACAGCATATGTGTGAATAAGTATATACAATCCTTGCTTATAAATAGTAAGAACTATATAAGGTTTATCAAAGATAGAGAGCCAGCCAATATATGTTAATTTAATAGATAAATGTAGCATTCTGCTTGCAAGCTAGGGATAATTTTAGGAGCCCTCGGTGTGGTATTTAAGATACCACAAGTTAATAATATTTGCTCAATTTTTCATTTTCAAGATGGCAGTTTCTCACACACAACTTGGGAGTAAAATAAATATGAAGGTCCCCAAAATAAGTATTAGAGAAAGATAGAAATAGTAACTACGTATTTTTTAACAAAACTCAAATATTTTGAACAGTATGTTCCTAGCCTGGGAGTTTCAGTTGTCCATAGAGAGAAAGGCAAATTCACAGGCAAAATATGCAACTATTCTGAGACCTTTGTAGAACAAAGATCTCCCGTTGCTGTGATGATTATCATCATCAACTAAGCAGACAAGTTTTGATAGAATGCACAGCAGCTACTGAGGAAAGAAGGGGGACCAACTCGGCAAGTTAGATTCATGGTTCAAATCCTCAACACATTGATAGACGTCATGGCCATACATTATAATTTACTAATATCTTAACTACCAAATAAGAGGAACAGTACAAAAGTACTTATGTAAGCTGAAATGCAAAACGCAATTGGAAGGCTTCATTATATTTGCCCATTAGGGTAATATGCAGTTAAAAGACTATATCAAAGCTATATTATCCCCCATGTATCCACTCACAAATGCAATCTCCAGTGGTTCCCGAGCAAAGTATACATCAGGATCACCAGAGAGACTCTTTAAAAACACATACATTTGTAATTCAAACCAGAAGATTCTGATTCAAGAGTTCTGAATGAGCACTGGCTTTTATATACTGGAAAATCTCTCTAGATGAATCTAATATCTACCCATTTATTACGTAGAGTAGGCTAGGTTGTGCTGCAGTAACAAAAACAAACCCACCAAAATATCAATGACTTAACACAACACAAGTTTATTTTTCTCTCATGCCACATGGATTTTTCATCAAGTTACATCCTACTATGACCATAACAGCAGTGGGAAGAAGATGGATCAAACACTGCACTGGATCTTATAGCTTCTGCCTGGAAGTGCCACTTCTCTCATTCCATTGGCCAAAGCAAGCCACATGGCACATTTAACTTAAAAGTGGTAGGGAATTCTTAATTCCACCATCTGCCTGGAATGAGGGAGACCTGGAAATATTTGTGAGCAACACTAATGGAGGCCAAAATCTCTGATTAAGAACCATGAGTTATGATCAGTTTCTCAAAGTATTTCAAGTAATTTAACCTACTTCTGCTGCCACACATTCTTCTCTTCTTTTTAACCTTTTGTCAGAAATTTTCAAAATACAAAAATGTCTTTAATAATAACTTAGGGTTTGTGATTTATTTGATGGCAGTTTTTAAAAAGATGTTTTTAATCCTACTTAGAAACAGTCCACTTTCATGATTTGTTGCAATTTTCTTTCCCTGGTTAATTAAACTCATTTCTTAGGAAATGACTCATGGCGAATCACACTAAGAATAAAATTAGTCACATTGCCCTCTTTGTTATAAGATGAGTGTAAATAATCTTTAAGGAAATTTTTCTTAAATCAAAAAAGCATGTAATAGTCCCCAATTCAGTAACATTATGTAAAATAGCAGACTCAGAGAGTAGTAAATCCAGATGCTGTCCTATTATTGCATGAAACAAGGCAGAAATTTGTGTTCCTTTATTGTTAAACCAGGCTCTATCCATTGAATTTCTTTATGTAAATACTCTTTTGGAGGGTTAAAGTACCATTACAAAAATTCCTAGACTAAAACCTGTTGTATGGTTTCTTTGACCACTGGAGAGATATAAAACCATTACATTTAAGTATCATAATAGCTAGCATATGTTATTTCTTAGAAATGACACTACCATCTGGATTAAGGTCTACTGATGATTTCATACAATACTCCAGTTTTCTTCGGGTAGAGAGAGGCCAAACTGTTTTGACTTTAACTACCCTGTTGTTCTAATGAAAATAATAAAAGGTTACACTTATGTCTGACCTACTTGCTGGAGATCACATACTGCCTTATTAATAAATAATATAATTATTATAGTAGCTGAAAATGCAGAAGGCAAGCCAGTTGCTTGTGTTAATAATGTGAGTTGGGGCCCAAATCCATCGTCCAATATTATCCATTTCTAACCAAACAGATCATGCGATTTCCCTGGTTGCCAGAAGCACGTTCTGTAGTGAAAAGTCCACCTGCCTTGTGTTCAAATCTTGCCTCTGCTGTGCGCTAATTGTCAGACATTGGGCGTGTTTCTGAATCTCTGAACCTCAATTTCCTCAGCTACAAAATGAGAATAATTATATCTATGGTAAGTTTGTTAAGAAGCTTAAGGATTATGACTATAAAAATCTCTAGTAAATTACCACTTTCCCAACGTAACAGGTTAGAAAAATCAGAGTCACTATTATTCCTAAGTTTTTTTTATCTGCATGGTCATCTTTATTTCCTTCAACCTGTGCAAAGAGAAGCAAGACAAGATTAAAAGCAAAAGTATGGTCAGAATGTGAAATAAGTCAAATTGGAAATGTGATAAGCAAAGACCGTATTGCACATTATGTATCTATTCCTGGAATAGCTTTCTAACGTGGTGGAATCACTAGACAATAAAAATACACTCCTGTGTATAATGTGATAGCGGTATTTGTTCATTTGCATGTAAGCCACCCTCATGGCTGGCTATCTTTAAAGGTCATTTGGTGAACTCTCACCGAAAAAAAAAAGTGTAATCTCTTTTACTCACTGAAGTCATGAAATACATGAATGAGTGAAATACATACACTGAAGTCATGAAATACATGGGGGGTTGTGGTGGAAAACATAGAAGGGTGGAGGAAGGGGACCCTCTCACCTGACTGCCTCCTCACTGGCCCCTTGGCTACTGTCACGCACACAGCAAACCCTCTGGGCCAATCCATCTGACTGGCTGTGCAGGGAATGGGGCAGCCTGGATAATTGATGGGCTCAATCTGACCAGGCACAGGTGGCACAGAGACGGCGTACAGCAGCTTCTCGGGTTTGCCAGTGCCATCTGTTGCCATAAAAACATCTGTCGTCAAGGTCACCCTGTCACCCTCTGTTAAAGTTACAGGTTTGGTGAGTAGGATAATGTCACCTAAGAAGAAGGGTTATGTATGCTGGGGGCTGGGAGAAAAGAGAAAGGGAGACCAAGATACACAATGACAACAGGAAATCTTTCTTTTATTTTAATTTTGAAAGATAAATAATAATAATAGAATTACTGAATTGAAAAATTAGAAAAAGTGCACATGTTTTTAAAGGAGAACCTTATAAAAGGCTTGCAAGATTATTGTCATTGTTCACTCTAGCCAAAACATTAGCTCATTTTAAAGAATAATAGCATTTTTATCAAAGACATGACATGTATTTGTAAAGGAAATATGATATTTACTTGTAAAAACAAGCACTTTCCTTTCTGCTTGCTAACTTTAAAAACCATTTTTTGGTATGATCCTTTTGTATAAGTACATTTAACTAAGCATCTGTGTGTGTGTGTGTGTGTGTGTGTGTGTGTGTGTCTGCATTCACAGCATGTTCAGGGAGGGAGTAGAATGGAAGGGATGGAAGGGGGCATTGCATTTATCAAAGTATTTAACTGGCATTTGAGCTTTGCTCTGCTGCCAGAAAGAATGACCCATTTGTTAATAAAGAACAATTAAGTTAATAGACTCAAATGATCTGGTGGACAAAGTACTGTAATGAAGCAAATGCAATATTGGATTTTTAAGCAGCAAGTATTACATGTGGCCGGACTTCCAGCAGCAATGGCTCATCTTTCCCTGTCTGTGTTTGTTGCTGAGGCGTTTTAAAGCAATTTCACCCAGTGGCAAAGAAACATCCTTCCCATCTGTTTAAGAAGTGCGGCTTTACTTATCGGACAAATATTGCTGGCACCATGGGCTTTCAGGGACTTACTGATTATCATTGAATGGTGAGATGAGAAGGGGAAGATAATCTGCTGGATTTTGTAAAACACACTCACATCTGCCCACATCAAACCTAAAGAGTACTACATTAGGACAATACAGTTTCTCAGCAGAAGGGAAGGTCAGGGAAGGAGTAGACAAAACAGCAGATGAATATGCTTTGTTTCATCTGTACCTGCAGCCTGGTCACCAAACACCATGCAGAACATTAAAGTGGAGCTCTTGGGAAAAAAAAGCAAAATATTTATGGCCAACTGTAATTTTAATGTTGTTAAATGTGTGGAGGGTATATAGAATTTAGTTTGTTCCCTGATTCAATAGTTTAATGTTTTGGTAGTATAAATATGATGATTATCTGGCAGCAATTTCCTCTAATTTGGGCCACTATGAGGATCACCTTTTCCTGAACCTCTGGTCCCAGTCTGATAAGACAAGTAATGTAAGTAAAGACCAAAAACTTAATTCAAGTAAAGGGTTATAAACATTGGTTTCTATGCTCTGGATTTCAAATTATTTAGTGACATACATTTAAATCCATATTCCAAATGGAACAAAGGATTATTTCAATTATTTGGCTTCATATGGTTCACAAAAATTAACTTTCCTTGTAGTCGTTTCTTTTTGATTCCAAAGCATATTAATATTATCACATTAATTTCAAGAGGACTTTCATAACTATAATGCAGTTGATAAACAACTGGACTTGGACTGCTAACTGAGTATATGGCCCTAGGAAAGTCACTTAATATCTCAAAAATTCTGCCACAAACTTCCCATCCAATTCTGGATTCCTTAAGTACAACTTATTTGCATGTGTCTTCCTCCTTCTAGTTCATAAAATCAAGTCACTCTCCTAGTTTTCTCATTTGATTCCAGTATCTTAGCTCATTCTTCTCTTGCCAGCTTTATGCCCTAGTTCTGTATCCTGTGTTTGACATTTGTCTCTGGTCCCTCCAGATTTGTCAGTCTTAGCAATTGACAGACTTTGCACCTTGTTAATATAGCTCATAGGGGAAACAATTGAGCATCTTCTTTTGGGACATGGGCTTTGAAGTTACTGTGAGCAGTTGGCCACTTAACCTGAGTGACCTTAGGGAAGTTTTTTTAACCTTCTCAAGACTCAGACTGCTCATCTGTAAAATAGAATTTAAAATGATAATTATCATATAGAATTCTTGAGGATTAAATGCCTGACATACAGCAAGTGACATATCAATGATTTATGTTAATATTACCAATCATTAGCTTAAAATATTATCCAAAACTGAATGTTGTTATTTATTGAATATAAATATTTTCAACTCCTGGCTTAATCCTGGAAACTTCACCTCATGTGGTTCCTTACCCCAGCTGAAAGTCAGGCTAAGCTTGGGTCCCTAATACATTGTGGTTGATTTAAATAAATATCTCCTCTGATCTCTAAGCCTGGAAAATGTGGGGAGAATTTTCTATGGGTGTTTCTGGGTCTGTACTAGAGTGCCCAAAGGCCTTCACAGAAGTAACATGCTTCACTGTGAAAGGATAAGACTACAAAACAGAAACACTTTTCCCACCAAAGCTGCCTTCTCTTAACTGCTTGGCTTCTGTGTAATAAATAGACCATTTGAAATATTGTTCTATAGTTAACACATTTGAAACCTGCTGGATATGGTAGTCCCCAAGATCAGCATTAATATTGTAACTCCTAGACTATGATTAAATATATTCACGCTAACCTATCAGAGGAAGCAATAGAATTAAAACATAATTTATTATTTTCCTTGATGATTTAAGGAGTTCATTATAAACACAGGAGTTCTGAAGTGCTGTGAGAAGATAACTTTAGGGTACTCCGGGCTCTTTTGTTTTTCCTATAGCAAACAACCTCAGACTGTATATGTCTTTGAATGCTCATGTCATTCAGATGTGTGTTTCTCTTTTGCCAACTTTCTGGCCTCTTTTAATTTGCTGCTTCTAGTGTACTGTTAGAAAGACACTAAGTAATAAAACTTGTTAGTTCTATGTGAAAACTGAGAGTGATAATACCATGAGTGAGAACATCAAGAACTATACTTAGTAAGACACTTACATGGATTTTGTCAATTGGCTTCTCAGTGGCTTTACTTAATGGTCTCATTTTCTGGATTTGGGCTTTGTTCTCTATAGGAAAGATGAGCTGATAAATGTTTAAAACCAGGGGAGTGGACGAATCTCAAATTTGTAGCATTTGCTAATTTCCTTGGTGTAAATAATCTCACCAGGTCTGATTTCAAACTACCATTGTGGTATCACTAAACACAGACTCTGTGAAACACAGAATTAGGAAGAGACAAACATAAATGGCCTGCTCCAGCACACTACTTACTGTATTGAAGATACTGTCTAGTAAGAGACTTGTGTAAAGTAACCTGCTACCCTGGTAACATTAGCATTCACCTGAATACTTAAAACTACTAGAAATGTGAGATCTCAGAAAGGGCCCATTGTAGAATCTTAACTACTGGTTATTACTTGTACAGGGATTGAGTTCTTTGTTAATTTAACGTTTATTGATAGCTTATGTGTCCTACATACTGTGCTAAGCACTTGTGATTCAGCTCATCCAATCCCTATAATAACCCCCTGAAACAAGAACTGGGATTAACTACATTTTTAAAATGATGAAACTGAAGCTCAGAATCATTAAGTAACTTACTCAAGGTCTCACAATTTTTATGTATAGAATAGGAATATAATTTAGGAAGTCTTGTTGAAAACCCCACATCTTTAACCACTGTGAACCAACTTTGTAAATAACATAGCACATTTGACTTGTAAGTATTTTCTAACAGATAAACATGTGTCTAGTTGATGATCATCCATTCGTTTCCTGACATGGTTTTAGCACATACCTTGTAATGATCCTGTTAGTATAGGGCCATGAAAAAGGTTATATGTAAATTTGTTATTTAGCAAAGAAAAAAAGAGAGAGATATAAAAACATCAAAACTTATAAATTGTATTTTGATTCTTTCATCTGTATCCTCTTTCCATATTTCTTTTTCAGTTTTTTATTAAATTTGAAATCTTAATTACTATGTAAGTTATATAGCATGCCTAGCCTAAGCTAATGGCTATAAAAATAAAAATAAAAACAAAAGAGCAAATGAAAGTCTGATTATTTCCATCAATGCCCATTAATTCAAAAACACCATAATAGAATATTGGTTTGCAAATAATATGCCAGTGACCATCACATAGCCACATAATTTAAGCAACTATAAGTGCAACGTCATATTATAGAGGACTTCTAATTTAATTGAGTTTAAAGTAGGCCAAAGTCGGTCATTTATACTTCTCTGAATAGATTATAATTACTTCCCAGAAAATAAAAACAAAACATTCAGAAGGATAACCAATCTTTTCTAGAGATGAAAATATTTCCTTCAATGACCTATTTCAATGTGAATCCACTGGCATTAAAAAAAGCAGTGCAACTGAACGTTATTTTTTAATCAATGGTTATGGATAAATCTAAGTTAATATTCAATAAATCGTCTCCCTTTAAAGGTGGTCCAGCAAAACATTTAGCTTTTGCTTGATGCAGCTCTTCTCCCTGACAGTGATTCTCAATTACCTAGTTTTCCTGTGTATCAAGGAAACAATCAAAAACTGGATTAAATAGGACCTTACCCTCATGCACTATAGTCATTTTCAAATAAATGAACTGTGTGTGTGTACTGGCATCCACTTTGCCAAAATGGTATAACTCTAACCTCAGAAGCACGCACCAGTTAGCAGGGTCTGCAAAAGTTCAGCTGGTGAGGGAGCACACATTTTCCTTCTTATCCCACATCCGTTCACTGCCAATTAAAAACAGGTAACCCTATAATCTGCTTCTGGTAGTACCAAGCTAATTAGACTTTGACAAGAATGTAGCAACGCCCAATCGCAGAAAATTAACACGCATGTTTCTCTACAGATACTTGGGGAAAAGGGAGAAATAAAGCCACATGCAAAATCTTTCCAAAATCTCAGCCAGACCTCATTTGTGTCCACATACTTCATGTCACATTAACTCACCCACCCTGATGCCCAGAACTACGCCCTCCAGCTGACTGGCAAGGTTAGGCTTTAGCTTTTTAATAACCATCTTATACATATAGACCTATATATCTAGGATCTATAAAGCACACAGATGATTATTTAGGATTAATGGATCATTCAAAGTGCCAGTTGGCACGTTTTGAGTAAAAAGTGTAACAAATGCAGCTGTTTACTAATAAATAAAGCCTCAGCTGTAAGAGAAATAAATTAGATGCATTTAATTGGTAGGCTGCAAACCTCCCCTTTATTACAATGCAGCTTCTTGTTATTTTATGATGTCAGGGTAGATGGCAGACTGACAGAGTGTTTATGAATCACAGTTTGCAGATGGCACTCTTGGTTTTCAGCAGCTATGAGCACAAGTAGCATGAGGCCTCAATAGTGGATTTTGCCAAAGACGACCCCCTGAGAATTAGCTGTCTTCATTTCTCTTGTGCCAATCTCTCCCTGGCAGAACCCTTACTTCACAAACCCACCTTTAATAAATTGTGGCTGCCTGGCAGGGAATCAAAGAGAGCTCACACCCACAGAATGCCCTCATCTCGAGGTGATCTCTTTGTTATTGCTGAGGAGGCCTGTGCAATGATTCTCAGAGCAGACTTCCTGCAACTTCATACGAAGATGACCAAGGATCAGGCAGGACAGAAACCCTCCCCCTTTCGACTCCTTGGCTTTCTTTGCCCACTCTCCTTGCAGCTGACAGAAGGGATTTCCTATCTCTAGAGCACTGCATAAGGTCCTTGCACTTGGGATTCAGAGCTCCCCTAACTAATGACAGCTTTGTCATCATACAGCTGGGGAGGGGTCACCCCAACCCATGGAGCTGAGGCTTCACAGCGTCAGCACTCCTGCATTCCCCTGATGACCATTCACTTCTATGGCTGGGAACAGCACACAGGAGACATGCAGTCATAATTGTCAACAGATTTGTACATTTTCATCACCAGTTATACTCCTAATGGATTTTTATTCTAATGGGCTGTTTTTACTTTATTAGAAAAGTGAGAGGATCAAGCCCCTTTTCACGGAACAGAGTTTAGTCTGAATGTATAATAATAGTAATTATAAGGTTAATGATACTAATAGTAGTAATACTAATATCAGAAGCTACCATTCGAGTACTTAGTATGTGATAAAATAGAATAACTTCCCATAGGATTATTTAAGTTATCTTATGCTAGTTTAAAACACATAAGCACCATTCCCTTTCTCTGCTTGTTTCCTTTTCCTACGTTGCTTTGGTCAGACACTTGAGTCCTGGTTACGTGTCCAGGAGGACCTGAGAGAAATCCTGAGATTGCTTCCTCTTTTTCTACTGTGTCTGCTGGAGGCCTGATGGAATGAATATATCTCTTCAGCTATCTTATGAAGCTGAAATTAAAATGGCTGCTGGTGGTCAAGCTGGACTAGGTAGAGAAAACATACAAACAAAAATGAACTTTGTTGGTTGGTATTAAAAACAGTTCTGAAAACTTTAAGTGGGAAAGGAATTAAACTCAGATTTTTTACTTTAGATGAGGACTCCTGTCTCATAATAATAAAAGAGGTTATTTAAATCCTTTTAATTAAATTTCATCTATGTTATGTAAAATATGCATGCATTTTTCCGGAAATCAAGCAGAAGGCAAAGATGTCCACTCTCATTACTTTGACATAGTTCTAGAGTTCCTAGGTGGCATAATAAGGCAATGTATGGATACATACAAACATAATACATAAATAAATATATAAAATTGAAGGCATTCAGATTGGAAGGGAAGTCATAAAACTATCTTCATTTTCAAATGACATAGTCCTGTAACCAGGAAGTCCTAAGGAATCTACAAAAAAATAACAAATGAATTCAGCACAATCAGGATATAAGATCATACACTCACAAAACTGTGTTTCTATATACTGGCAATAATGATCCAAAAATGAAATTAAAAAACAATTTCATTCACAATGGTATCACCAAAAACAAAGTATTGGAAATACAGTTTTAAGAAGTTGTGTCAGGTTTGTACATTGTAAACTGTAAAGCATTACTGAGAAAAATTAAAGATCTAAATAAAATGAGAGATATTCCATGTTCATGGATTGGCAGGCTCCATATTGTTAAGATAGAAATTCTTCTCAAATTTGTCTACAGACTCAGTGAAATTTCTAGCAAAATTCTGGTTTTTTTTTTAACAGAAATTTACAAGCTGATTCTAAAATTTATATAAAAATTGAAATGACTCAGAATAACAACAATAAGCAAAGTTGAAGGACTCACATTTTCCAATTACAAAATACTATAAAGCTACAATAATTAAGAGAGTGCGATACCAAAGTATGGTTAGACATACGTATGGATGGAACACAATTTAGAATTCAGAACTTTACTCTTACATTTGAGGTTAATTAATATTTGACAAAGATGACAAGGCATTTTGATATTTTCAGGAAACAATGCTGAGATAATTAGATTTCTGCATGCAAAAAGATGAATTTAGATGCTAACCTCATATCATATAAGAAAATTAATGCAAAGCAGATCATCAACACATCTTTAAGAATTAAAACATAAAACTTTTAGAAGTGGTTATAGAAAAACAGTAGAATAACTTGGGAGGAATAGAGTTTTTCTGAGAAGGTGATATTGAGCAGAAAGCTGATTGAATTGAACTCTAATTGATTGAAGCAAAAATCTGGAGAAAAAATATTCCATAATCCAGGCAGATTGAATAGCAGTTGCAGTACCCAAAGCTCAGGGTAAGATATGCAATTTTTCAAGAAGCACAAAGACCAGTATGGTTGGTTTCATTGTGACATTAGGCTAGACAAAGATCTCTTAGACATAAAAAGAATTATCTATTTTAAAAAAGGATAATAAGTTGGACTTCATCAAAACTTAAAGTTTTGATCTTAGAAAGATATCATTAAGAAAATAAAGTGTTGCATATCATTCTAAATGTTGTGAAAAAGAAATTTTTAAAAAAGAAAAAGAAGTGTTAAGCTGCAGACCAGAAAAAAATATTTACAAATCATATTGACAAGGACCTTGTATCAAGAATAGAAAAAGAACTCCTACAAATTAATGATCAAAAGACAAATAGCTCAATTCAAAAATGGGCAGAAGGTGTAAACAGACACATTACAAAGAAGATGGTGACCAATGGAAACATGTAAGATGCTCAAGGTCATTAGTTATCAGGGAAATGTAAGTTACATGCACAAGGATATATTACTACCCATTCACTAAAATGGCCAAAATTAAAAGGAATGACAAAAACTAAGTCTTGTCAAAAAGTGAGAGCATCTGGAACATTCATGGATTTATGTTGAGAGTATAAAATACTATATCTATTTTGGGAGAACGTCAGTAGTTTTTAAATAAAGTTAACCATACACTACTACTTGTCCCAGTAATTCTAGCACTAATTAGCTTCTAAACAGAAATCAAAACATTTTGTGCATGAAATACTTGTACACAAATGTTCGTTGTAGTTTTGTACATAATAGCTCAAAATTGAAACTATCCCAAATATCATCACCAGGTGAATGGATAAAAATAATTGTGGTCTATTTATACATTGGGTTATTACTCATTAATTAAATAGAACACACTACTGATTCATGCAACAGCATAAATGATTTTTCCAAAACAGAATGATTCTTCAAAACATAATTCTCTAAGGCATTATACTGATTAGAAGAATACAGAGTAAATACAGTGTGCTTCCATTTATATGAAATTTTAAAATAAGCAAAACTAAAGGGCCAAAAAGGAAAACAGTGGTTGTCTCGGGCTGAAGGTGGAGAAATTGACTGAAAAGTATCTTGAGGACACTTTTTGGAATGATGTAAATATTCTGTATCTTGAGGGGCAAGTGGTTACATAGGGTTTTTTTCATTTGTCATATCTTGTTAACAGTACACTTAAAATAATTATAATTTTTTGCGCTTAAATTATACCTCAATAAAGCTGAAATAAAAGTAAAATTAAAAATTAGCAACATTGGCATAAAAAGCGACAAACTGGAAATGACAAGAAATCTTAAAATAACCTTACTTCTAAGACAAGCACTGTCTTAGTTTTTTGGGGTTGCTATGACAAAATATCATAAATTGGGTAGCATATAAAAAACAGAAATTTTTTCTCACACTCCTAGAAACTAGGAAGTCCAAGATCAAATCTCTGGCAAGTTCAGGGTCTAGTTAGGGCCTGTTTCCTGGTTCATGAATGGTGCCTTCTTACTGTGTTCTCACATGGTAAAAAAGAAGAATGAGCTCTCTGATTCTCTTTTATAAAGACACTAATTCCATTTTTGAGGGCTCTGCCCTTGTGACCTAATCACCTCCACAAAGACCTCGCCATCATCTTGGGGGTTAGGATTTCAACATACAAATTTTAGGGGTCCACAAACATGCAGACTGTAGTGTTTCACCTTGGCCCTCCATAATTCATGTCCTTCTTACATGTAAAATGCATGTATTCCATCCCTATAGCTCCAAAATCTTAATTCGGTTCATCATCATTTTATTAGTTTAATGTCCAGAGTCTCTTCTAAATATATAAATCAATATGAGTGAGTTTCAAAGTACAGTTCATTCTAAGGCAAATTGCTCTTCAGCTGTGAACCTGTGAAATCAAACATGTTTTGTGCTTCCAAAATACTATAGTGCCATAGGTATAGGAATGGCATTCCCATTTCGAAATGGAAAAATAGAAATAAAAGGGATTATGAGTCCCAACTAAGTCTAAAACTTTAAGGATGGGAAATAATTTGTTTTGGTTTGATGCTCTGCCCTCCAATCTTACTGAGGCAAACATCCGGCCTCCTCAGCTTAGCTGATTAGGAGTTGAGCCCCCAAGACTCCCAGCCAAAGAGCTTTGAGGAAGTAATGGACAGCAAGCACCAATGTCTTGGCCTCCTTTGAAATCATTATTCCCCCAAGGCCCGTGATGAAAGAGGGAGAATTGAAGATTCTGAAATGCCTTCAGTATGATTTTTCCGTTATCTTGATGAATAAGCACCTTGCTGATCTACACTAATCTCCTAATCAAATGGTACACACTCTTGGTGTTCTCTCTCAAACACTTCTTATTTTGTACAATAATGAGCAGGGCACAGTGGCTCACGCCTGTAATCCCAGCACTTTGGGAGGCTGAGACGGGCAGATCACTTGAGGTCAGGAGTTTGTCAGCCTGGCCAACATGGTGAAACCCTGTCTCTACTAAAAATACAAAAATTAGCCAGGTATGGTGGCGCATGCCTGTAGTCCCAGCTACTCAGGAGGCTGAGGCAGGAGAATCACTTGAACCCAGGAGGCAGAGGTTGCAGTGAGCTGAGATCGCACCACTGCACTCCAGCCTGGATGACAGAGCAAGACATCATCTCAAATATATATATATATAGATGAGCTGAGAATTTCCAAATGTTCAAGTTCTGCTTCCTTTTGATTAAAAATTCCATCTTCAAATTGTTTATGTCTTCTCGTACTTTACTATAAGCATTCAGGAGAAGCCATTCAGCACCTTCAACACTTTGCTTAGGAATTTCTTCAGCTAAGTATTCTATTTCATCACTCAAAAGTTCTACATTCCATAAAACACTAGGACACAAATACAATTCAATCACATTCTTTTTTTTTTCTGTGTCTACTAGTGTTTTCTTTTTTTCTTTTTTTTATTATACTTTAAGTTCTAGGGTACATGTGCACAACGTGCAGTTTTGTTACATATGTATACATGTGCCATGTTGGTGTGCTGCACCCATTAACTTGTCATTTACATTAGGTGTATCTCCTAATGCTTTCCCTACCCCCTATCCCCACCCCACAACTGCCCCAGTGTGTGATGTTTCCCTTCCTGTGTCCAAGTGTTCTCATTGTTCAATTCCCACCTATGAGTGAGAACATGTGGTGTTTGGTTTTTTGTCCTTGCAACAGTTTGCTGAGAATGATGGTTTGCAGCTTCATCCATGTCCCTACAAAGGACATGAACTCATCCTTTTTTATGGCTGCATAGTATTCTGTGGTGTATATGTGCCACATTTTCTTAATCTAGTCTATCACTGATGGACTTTTGGATTGGTTCCAAGTCTTTGCTATTGTAAATAGTGCCACAATAAACATATGTGTGCATGTGTCTTTATAGCAGCATGATTTATAATCTTTTGGGTATACACCCAGTAATGGGATGGCTGGTTCAAATGGTATTTCTAGTTCTAGATCCTTGAGGAATCTCCACACTGTCTTCTACAATGGTTGAACTAGTTTACGGTCCCACCAGCCATGTAAAAGTGTTCCTATTTCTCCCCATCCTCTCCAGCACCTGTTGTTTCCTGACTTTTTAATGATCGCCATTCTAACTGGTGTGTGATGGTATCTCATTGTGGTTTTGATTTGCATTTCTCTGATGGCCAGTGATGATGAGCATTTTTTTCATGTGTCTGTTGGCTGCATAAATGTCTTCTTTTGAGAAGTGTCTGTTCATATCCTTCGCCCACTTTTTGATGGGGTTGTTTGTGTTTTTCTTGTAAATTTGTTTGAGTTCTTTGTAGATTCTAGATATTAGCCCTTTGTCAGATGAATAGATTGCAAAAATCTTCTCCCATTCTGTAGGTTGCCTGTTCACTCTGATGGTAGTTTCTTTTGCTGTGCAGAAGCTCTTTAGTGTAATTAGATCCCATTTATCAATTTTGGCTTTTGTTGCCACTGCTTTTGATGTTTTAGACATGAAGTCCTTGCCCATGCCTATGTCCTGAATGGTATACATTCTTTACCACTTTATAACAATGATGGCCTTTCCTCCAGTTTCCAATAATGTGTTCCTCATTTTCATCTGAGACCTCATCAGAATGGCCTTTACCATCTATATTTCTCCCATGAATATATTGTTCATGTCCACTTGGATATTCTTTAAGAAGACTGAGGCTTTCTGTATAGATTTTCTCTACTTTTGAGCCCTTACCAGAAGAATTATCACTTATTCATAGCAACCTAGGTTTTTACTAGCATGCACATCAAAATTCTTCCAGTCTTTACTCATTAGCTAGTTCCAAAGTCGCTTCTACACTTTTAGGTAACATTATAGCCTATCCTTCTGCTCTTGCCTGGAACAGAAGTGTGTTGCTGGAAATGAAGCAATCATTTTTCAACCATGAACTAATGACATGAGGATGAAACCCACACTAAGGATATTTGAGAAAAATGTTAGAAAATTTCTGTTCCTAATGTCAACAAGGGCCACATCAACCCTGAACTCTAACTCTCAGCTTCCTCTTACATGAGAATGATAAATTTCTTATTTCATTAAGCTACTATAGTTAGTTTTCTGTTACTAGGTTACACAAAGAAGAATGCAATTCCTAACTGATAAAATGCTTCAAAGCTGCTGCAATTAAAATACTGCACATCATCATATTAATGCTAAAATAGGCAAGTACATTAATGGATGGTCCAGAATTTATACTTGTATAAATATACATATGTATTATATTTATCTCTATGTACATTAGTTTTTATTATAAAGTAAACATTTAAAATCAGTACTATGTGTTGAGTTAGTTCATTCAAAGTAGCCAACAGATGAAGAAAGAGTTCAGCAAGATAGATTTAACCATCTTTGGAAGTCTTCCTATTCCAACAGCCAGCTCCTCTCTGTGTCTGCACAGCCCCATAGTGGTCTGCATTTTTGGATCACGGCTGCTCTCTGTAGACTCTGCCTCTCATATCACAGAACATCCCCAGTTCATTGTCCTCCATTACTGAATCTGTACCCGCTTCGTTTTCATCACTGTCTGCCCCAGGTGAGTCTTCGTCCTGCCCTTCCTCAAGCTCGTGCCACATGATCCTTAACATTGAACCTTTCACAATTGGTAAATTCTTGCTGCTTGACTCTTTAATTCAAAAGTCAATTTTCTTGATAATATTCAGGACTCCATCCTCTGTACTCTTTTCTGCCATCCATTTATGTTGATTGATTAGGTCAGAAAGCCCAAGCTTTTCATTTAGTTCTTCTTAACACCCTTGTCATTTAAGTCCATTAGTATTTTAATAGTGGATTTTAAAATATTATATTAAATTTTATTGCTTTTTGACAAAGGCAGCTCAAGAATAATTTCTGAATACCTTATAGAAACCATAAAATGTCAGAGCTGCAAGGGCCCTTAGAGATCATCTGCTATTACTTTTTATTTTACAGATGGAGAAACTACAGCCCAGAGAGGGGAGTGATTTTCCCGTTGTTGCACATCTCATTAGTGAAGATGTTAAAGGTAAAACCCCAGAACTTTCTTGATTTTCATCTTAATCTCCACTTGTCCAGGTTTTATTTCTTGCTATTGGAGGCGCCACCCTCCAATTTTTTTTACATGTTTTATAACGTAAGTAATCTGTTAGGGCAAAACATGCAATTCTATATAGAACAAATATGCATATATGGGGAATGAGTTCTTAAAAACATTTATTCACTAGGGTAAGTGATAAAACAAAAGTTTGGAGACCGCAGACTTTGAATTTCAAATTCTTAGTGTGAAATATTAGTCTATTTATTAGGCTATTTTTTTTTTTGAGACAGGGTCTCACTCTGTTGCCCAGGCTGGAGTGCAGTGACACAATCTCAGCTCACTGCAGCTTCAACCTCCCAAGCTGAAGTGATCCTCCCAACTTGACATCCTAAGTAGCTGAGACTACCAACTCATGCCACCGCACCCAGCTAATCTTTTGTTTATTTTTTGTAGATACAAGGTCTCACTGTGTTGCCCAGGCTGGTCTTGAGCTCCTGAGCTCAAGCAACCAGCCCACCTTGGCCTCCCAAAGTGCTGGGATTATAGGCATGAGCCAGTGCACCCAGCCCCAGTTACTCTTTTGGTTAGTATTTATTGAAGGCTATTCTGTGCCAGGCACAGTGAGAGGCAACAGAGAACATTATTGAACAGAAGCAGAGTCTTGATCCTCACAGAATGCACTATCTAGCTGGGGATAGAGGAAGACACTGAGCTTGTCTGGAGGCTCAGGGAACGCCTCCTTCAAACAGTGGTATTTGAGTTATGAAGTATGAGTTCCTTCTAGTCATAACAAATTACTGGAAATTTCTGGAATTTCTCAAAGTTTCCCACTAAAAACTTGTAGGAGTTAGTCCCACTGTCCTGAAATTTCTCACTTCAGACCCCACGTCCACTATTTCATCAAATTTTTCATTCTCATCTTAGATTCTGCTGGGGGCCTCTTCCTTTTTTTTTTTCTTGCTACCTTATATTGTAACACCCACATGTTATAATCTTCGCTTTATTCATTGGCCTTTTATACTCCCCTGTACCTTGCTCTTATTTCCTATTGACAGCATATTAATTAGAGCAGAATATGTTGAATTGAATAGAAGCTCTCTAATGGTCAGTCATATCAAACTGTTGTTTATGTTATTTATTTGCACAAATGATTCTCTGTTCCTAGAAAATTCTTATTTAGGTGTTTGAATCTGAGTTACCAAAAAAAAAATTTCACCCTCCTCTTGGGCCACATGAGATGTTCTTTACTTTTCTCTAAACATTCTAGATCACCAGAGTACTAGAACATTCCACAGAACAAGCAATATATGGTATTGTAATTGTGTATTTGGCGGTTTGTCTCTACCTCAAAATCATGAGCCAATTGACAGGAAAGATATTTCTTACTACCTTTTAATTCCAACGTCCAATGCTGTATCTAGCACATAGTATGTCCTCAAAAAGACCGTTTGAATTAAAGGATAAAAGGTGATTGTTTGAATTAAAGAATAAAGGAACACACAATACTACTGAGTTCTATCTATGAGGAAGTAATAAGAGTATGATGGGAAGCAGGTTCTCTGTGTATGCATGTATATTTATGTATGCATATATAAACAGAGGTACCTTCGTTTTAGCATAAGACTCAGGGTCTTAGGCAAAAGGGAGACTGACAACTAATGTATATAATCTGAAGTTTTTTTTCTCTTGCTTATTGTCTATCTTCCATATGAGAATTTAAAGTTCTGTGAGACAGAGGCTTTGTCTTGTTTATTTCTGTGTCCTTTGCTCCCAAACATGCCTGGCCCATAGTAGGTGATAGGTAAAAATTGTCAAATGGATATAGAAATAATGCTTATTTAAGATTTAATATATGTAAATAGTTTGTCAGGAATCCTGCATGTGCTTCCTCATTAAGACCTCAAGATCATCCAATGTTAGAGATGAGTAGCAGAGGCCAGGCAAGAGACGTGACAGGCCCAAAGTCCTTTGGCTCTTAAGTGCTGAGGCAGCCATTCAAACTCAGGACTCTCTGGTCCCAAAGACTAAATTAAAATTGAAGCTCAATAATTCTTACATTTAAAAAAAGGCCTTGGGTACATTTCTTAATTAACCCCACCTCTGTTTCTAAAGGAAAGAAAGCTGTAAACCAGGAGTAAATTATATTGCCTTGCAAACTGTGAACTGTAAACCTGTAAACTGATGGTAAATGAATTGTGACCAGAACACAACCACACCCCAGCCATGAATGGATGTCACAACAACTCAAAGAAAATGGAGGAAGAAAAATGTGTCCATACCATGCCCAATCTTTCAACACTTCATTTCTGAAGGACTGACAGCAAAACTGCCTTTCTCATGCAGCTGGTTGGGCTGGGATCTTGTCCAAATGCATGAAGGTGACTTTGATTCTGTGTTGTTCAGCTTCTACAGAGGGAGAGAAGGATACAGGCAAGAGCATGCTCCTTTGACATCTCACAACGGCACATGGCCCAGCTCTGTCTGACTTTGGCACTTTGTCCAAGAAACTTTTCCTTTCCAAACAGCACATCCTTCTTCTGACCTCACATCTAGAATCAGTTTTGTTCCAGAGCATAACAAGGTTCTCGATGCTCCCATGGCTGCCAACTTTGTAACTAAAGACAAATGGGAAAAGCAAATGGATCCTGGGCAACATGTGCCATTACTTTCCTGGCTGTAGACAGTGATGATGTAAGGTTTTATGTGGTCTCCTTGCCAGCTTCTGAGCCTGATCACAGTGATGAAACTAGCAAAGGAGTAATTATGAACATTCACATAACAGTGCAGAGAGAGCAGAGCTCTTAAAGCAACAGAAGGAGCCCCAGCTTTATCCAATTTTGGTTATTACATACATTTTCTGATTCTAATGCATTTCATATATTCATTTATTATGCTCCTACTATAGTGTATGCATATACATACAGGGAAGTATATATAGTCTCTGAGGACATGATGTTTTACAGAAACCTTAATGGAGCCATTGTGAAAATTTAGGGACTGGTTATGAGACAGGGGCAAGGATAAAGGCTCTGAGATGAGAGCACTTTAGTGTTTTCTGAGAATAGCATGGAGTTCAATGTGGCAAGAGCAGAAGGGACAAAGGAGACAGTGGTAGGAGGTGAGGTTCAACAGGAAGCCAGAGGTTAGTTAGAGAATTACTATACCTACTTCTTAGAGGAAAAGCCATAGGAATATTCTGAGCAGCGGAGGGGCATGGTTTGACTTTTGTGCTAAAAGGGGCACTCTAGTGGGGAGTGGAGAATAAACCTTGGGAAGGTGACAGAAGATGCAGGCAGGCAAGTAAGCACACCTCATAACATCACATTGCACCCCCTAAATGGATGTAATTATCATTTGCCAATTAAAAATAAAACTTATAACAATTAAAATTCTTTTTTAAAAGAGCTAACTGCTGCCATCCAGAAGAAAGAGGGAGAGAGACTGGCTTATACCAAAAGGTGGAAGTAGGGGTTAATGGTGAGAAGAGTTAGCATTCAAGATAAATTTTGAGTGGGGAGCCTGAAGGATTTGCTAATACACAGGGTATAAAGTGTGAAAGAAAAAGAGAAGTTGATGATGACAAGGTTTTGGCTTGAACAGCTGTATTAGTTCGTTTTCCTGCTGCTGATAAAGACATACTAGAGACTGGGAAGAAAAAGAGGTTTAATTGGACTTATAGTTCCACATGGCTGGGAAGGCTCCAGAATCATGGCGGGAGGTGAAAGGCACTTCTTACATAGTGGCGGCAAGAGAAAACGAGAGAGGTGCAAAAGTGGAAAGCCCTGATAAAATCATCAGATTTCATGAGACTTATTCACTACCAGAAGAACAGTATGGGGGACAGCTTTCGGCCTGTTGCTGGGCTTTGGTGGAAACTAAACATTTGACTGGGTCATCAAGTCACCTGTGACCTGAACTGCCTATAATGAACTGGGTGCTTTCTGACCCATCTAGCCATAAAGTGGGTCATGCACAGCAGCATTCCTTCATCAAATGGAAGTGGTATATACATTATCAGGCTCAAGCAGGTCCTGAAGGCACAAGTAATTTACACGAGGAAGTGGCTCAAATGCCCACGGTCTCCACTTCTGCCACCTTGCCTTCTCTTCCCGAGCCCACACAGATGGCCTCATGGGGAGTTCCCTATTATCAGTTGACAGAGGAAGAGAAGACTAGGGCCTGGTTCACAGGTGGTTCTGCACAATATGCAGGCACCACCCGAAAGTGGACAGCTGTAGCACTACAGCCTCTTTCTAGGACATCCCTGAAAGACAACAGTGAGGGGAAATCTTCCCAGTGGGTAGAACTTAGAGCAGTGCACCTGATTGTACGCTTTGCATGGAAGGAGAAATGACCAGATGTGCAATTATATACTGATTCGTGGGCTGTAGCCAATGGTGAGGCTGGATGGTCAGGGTCTTGGAAGAAGCATGATTGGAAAATTGGTGACAAAGAAATTTGGGGAAGAGGTATGTGGATGAACCTCTCTGAGTGGCCAAAAACTGTGAAGATATTTGTACCCCATGTGAGTGCTCACCAATGGGTGACCCAGCAGAGGAGGATTTTAATAATCAAGTGGATAGCATGACCCATTCTGTGGACACACCTCAGCCTCTTTCCCCAGCCACTCCTGTCATCACCCAATGGGCCCATGAACAAAGTGACCATGCTAGCAGGAATGGAGGTTATGCATGGGCTCAGCAACATGGACTTCCACTCACCAAGGTTGGCCTGGCTATGGCCACTGCTGAGTGCCCAATTTGCCAGCAGCAGGGATCAATACTGAGCCCTTGATATGGCACCATTCCTCGGGGTGATCAGCCAGCTACCTGGTGGCAGGTTGATTATATTGGACCTCTTCCATCATGGAAAGGGAAGAGGTTTGTCCTCACAGGAATAGACACTTACTCAGGATATGGGTTTGCCTAACCTGCACTCAATGCTTCTGCCAAGACTACCATCCATGGACTCATGGAATGCCTATTCACTGTCATGGTATTCCACACAGCATTGCCTCTGACCAAGGCACTCACTTTACAGCTAAAGAAGTGTGGCAGTGGGCTCATGCTCATGGAGTTTACTGATCTTACCATGTTCTCCATCATCCTGAAGCAGCTGGATTAATAGAACGGCGGAATGGCCTTTTGAAGTCACAATTAAAATGCCAACTAGGTGACAATACTTTGCAGGGCTGGGGCAAAGTTCTCCAGAAGGCCATGTATGCTCTGAATCAGTGTCCAATATATGGCACTGTTTCTCCCGTAGCTAGGATTCACAGGTCCATGAATCAAGGGATGGAAGTGGAAGTGGGTTACCCCCAGTGATCCACTAGCAAAATGTTTGCTTTCTGTTCCTGGGACATTACATTCTGCTGGCCTAGAGGTCTTAGTTTCAGAGGGAGGAACACTGCCGCCAGGAGGCACAAAAACAATTCCATTAACCTGGAAGTTAAGATTGCCACCTGGACAATTTGGGCTCTTCCTGTCTTTAAGTCAACAGGCTAAGAAGGGAGTTACACTGTTGGCTGGGGTGATTGACCCAAACTATCAAGATGAAGTCAGTCTACTACTACATAACAGAGGTAAGGAAGAGTATGCATGGAATACAGGAGACCCATTATGGTGTCTCTTAGTATTACCATGCCCTGTGATTAAGGTCAATGGGAAACTACAACAGTCCAATCCAGGAAAGACTACAAATGACCCAGACCTTTCAGGAATGAAGGTTTGGGTCTCTCCACCAGGAAAAAACCCATGACCTGCTGAGGTGTTTGCTGAAGGCAAAGGGAATACAGAATGGGTAATAGAAGAAGGTCATCAATACCAGCTATGGCCACGTAACCAGCTGCAGAAACAAGGACTGTAGTTGTTATGAGTATTTCCTCCTTTTGTTAAAAACATGTTTGTGCATGCGTACACTTATATTAAGAAAATATCTTCATTTTATTTCCTTTTCCTTTATCATGTGACATAAGATTTATTGACTTCACATCAGCATTTAAGTATTGTTAACTTTATGTAATAGCGTTTGGGTTGGGGATTGGTGCGCTTCTGGTTGTACGAAGGAGAGTTGTGTTATGTTAGGCATAATTATGACCTGATTATTGTCTTTACTTGAAGATTATGTAAGATCTGAGGAGATGTGTATGAGTTCAAGTTGACAAGGGGTGGACTTGTGATGATTAATACTGGGTGTCAAGTTGATTGGATTGAAGGATACAAAGTATTGATCCTGGGTATTTCTGTGAGGGTGTTGCCAAAGGAGATTAACGTTTGAGTCAGTGGACTGGGAAGGTCAGACCCACCCTCACTCTGGGTGGGCACAATCTAATCAGCTGCCAGCACGGCTAGAATATTAGCAGGCAAAAAAATGTAAAAAGAGAAACTGGCCTGACTTCCCAGCCTACATCTTTCTCCTGTGCTGGATGCTTCCTGCCCTCAAACATCGGACTCTAAGTTCTCCAGTTTTGGAATGTAGACTGGCTCTCCTTGCTCCTCATCCTGCAGATGGCCTATTATGGAACCTTGTGATCATGTGAGACAATACTTAATAAACTCCCATATATATATATGTACATATATATAGTTATATATATACATATATAGTTAGTTATATATATATAGTTATATAGTTATATATATAGTTATATATACATATAGTTTTTATATATATATATATATTTCTGTCCCTCTAGAGAACCTGACTAATACAACAACTGAGTATATTAAGGTGGGGAACAGGGTGGGAAGGGGGTAATTCTGGCTTGAAGTGGGAAATCAAGAACTCTCTTTCAACATGTTAGGTTGGAGATGTCTATTAACCATCCCAGGGAGGCTTCAACTAGGAAGTTAGGTATATAAGTCCAGAATTCAGTTATGACTAGAGTCAAAAATTCAATAGGTATCATGTGTTTAAAGTGATGAAACCTAGAAAGTTAATGCAGGTAGAGAATAGAAATCTTGGAAAGATGGACTAATCCCTAGGAAATTTTAATAATTTATTAGTGAAGATGTTATTCAACCCCAAATAATTAAACCTATCTTTTAGTGGGTCATTTTTTATGGCATAATAGAAATTTCAAAAGGTGTAAGACAAAGGCCTTGCCTTCAAAGAAGAGAGATTGGTGTATTTTTAAGAACACTGCCAATGAACACTAGACCTAGCCTACCTCCTACTAGATGTGTGATCTTTAACAAATTACCCAATGGTTTTGGTTTCAACATTTTTATTGTATAAGTGACATACTAAGTACCTATATCATAGCAATTTTAAGAGAAAATTAAATTAGATACCAAGTATATGATATTGTAGACATTCCAGCTTCTTTCTCTTCAAAGAATGTTTATTTGGGGGAACTGTTCCCCCACACATCTTCCATCTAGTCTAGATTGTAAGCTGCATGAGGGCAGAAAACACTTTTATCTTATATCTGTTATATAGAAAATAATGCCTAGCATTGTAGGTTCTCAACAATTATCTGTAGAATAAATCAAGTGGGAAACCAGTAGGTATATTTGGGTAGGATTTAGGTGCCTGGATACTTAGATGATTCAAAGTAAATGCTGTCCCTTTACCTCACAGAGTTTACACACAACCCAGGCGTTTCAATACAATGATAGAAAGAAAAGACAACCATGATGGAAGACTTAATCCCCAATTAAAAACACAGAACTTATTTTCCATCATTATATTTGTGTATAATTTAAATATGCTGGGTTGCCTTTAGTTCATTTAAAGCAAAGCAATGCATCTAAATGAAACAAATATCTTATTCAAGAAGTATTGTAGAAATTTATTGAAGTTTTCTTTAAAATTCAGTAGTTATTCTTGCGATACAAACTATCGCAAGAGCAAAAAACCAAACACCGCATATTCTCACTCATAGGTGGGAATTGAACAATGAGATCACATGGACACAGGAAGGGGAACATCACACTCTGGGGACTGTTGTGGGGTGGGGGGAGGGGGGAGGGATAACATCGGGAGATATACCTAATGCTAGATGACGAGTTAGTGGGTGCAATGCACCAGCATGGCACATGTATACATATGTAACTAACCTGCACAATGTGCACATGTACCCTAAAACTTAAAGTATAATAAAAAAAAAGAAAAAAAAAATTCAGTAGTTATGTGTATACCGTCAACAACATGCAATGAAAGTTCTGAAAGATCTGCTTTACACATCAGTGGAGCCCAAGTCTCAGAGCCCAAGGCAGTGGCTCATCATTTACTCTCCTCCTTGCACTCTTCTCAAGCCTGAAGCTCTCCTCTCTGGAAAGATGACATCCTGGCATCTCCATATCTTTTGTTTGTTAAAATGCATATTGATATATTGATTTTGTTTCCCTCAGTTTCCTTGAGTGCCCTCCCCTCATATCACCACTTCCCCACTCCAACCCCATTCCTCATTATGACTGGGGCTTTCCTTCTTAGGAGTCGGAGTAGGAGAGGGCAGGGGGATTCCAGTGGCTTGGGATTTTTTTTTTAATATAGTTCTTATATGTTAAAAAATTGATTATAGCAAGAAACTCACACTTTAGGGTCTGAATGGAACCTAGGACAGGGTGATGATCTCTAAGGAGAATTTAGCAGGGCAGAGGGTGTAGGAATGGCCTTCTCTTGCTGACTAGCCTTCTCTCTCACTGTCTTCTCATGTTTGTCCTCATTTCCTCACCTGTATTCGTTTTCCAGAGCTGGTGTAACAAGATACCACAGATTGTGTGACTTCAACAACAAAAATGTATTTCCTCACAATTCTAGGGCGAGGTGTTTGAGATCAATATGTCACCAGGGTTGGTTTCTTCTGAGGCCTCCCTCCTAAGTTGCAAGGAGCTGTCTTCTCACTGTCCTCACATGGTCTCTTATCTGCACTAGCATCTTTGGTGTCTCTTTGTGTTCAAATTTTTCTTCCTATAAAGACACAAGTCAGATTGGATTAGGTCCCACCCATATGGCCTTATTTAACCTTAATTATGTCTTTTAAGACCCTGTCTCCAGAAACAATCACCCTCTGAAGTATTGTGGGTTAGGACTTCAACATATAAATTTGGGAAGGAGCACAATTAGGCTCAGAACACCTATGTAGGAGACTTTTTCCACAACTGTCTCTCTTGCTTTTCCATCTTGGGACGATTTGAGAGGCCTCAAGAGCACCGTGAGTAAAGTGCAGAATTTGAACTAGTCAGTCCATAGTATGACTACCAATTGGGCACTGTGGTGGAAAGAGCATGGCCTCTGCCCTAGACTGCTCTGGGACTGACTCTCAACTGAGCTGCTTACTAGTTGAGTGAAGGACAAAATAGGCAAGTCACTTAATTTCTCTAATGGAAAATTTCCATATATTTAAGTTGAAGGCATCTTCTTTCATAGACATGTTATGAGTATTAAATAAAATATTTTATATATAATAGACATAATAGATATATAATATCTATTATATCTAATATGTATATATATATGTGTATTACATTCCTGGAACCCAGTGGATATTAAATAAATGTTACTGTCTTGCCTTCCATTTCTTATTTTAAATGGCAGCCTCTTGTGAGAATAATAAGATAGTAATAAGTTCATAGGCTAGTATTGGAAATATTATTAGGTATATATAATTAGTGCTCAATAAATGGCAGCTTTTATCATTTTAAGTCTCTCTCTGCCAGTGGGACACATTTCCCAGAGTGTCCAAGCCAAAAGATTTTTTAAGGGAAGTTAGGCCTTTCTAGATACAAAGAGTATGAACAGGGCTGAGTATGGTATTGAATAAACCAGCTTGTTGCAGTAAACAGCCAGTACATATTGATGCATTACTGAGATATTGTTAATCTGTTTAAATTCTAAAGCAGTTTAAAAATTTTTCATAAATAGCCATAGTTGTTTTATGAGGTATGTTGGGCTTGTAAATTGCTATTTTATTGTTATTTTGAGGAAACAGAAGCACAAAATACAAAAATGTAAAGTCTTACGGCTTGATGGTACAGAGCTTATTGCCCTCTACTTTCTCTTTAGGACTCCTAAAGTAATAATATTGGTAACAATTACGACTGTAACAACAAAAATAATCAGATTATGTAACTCTTTAGTAATAACAAAGTTTTCCCATCTATGAATTGATCTGATGGTCACAAAAAACCACTGAGGTTAATCCTGGCAGGGATTATTAATTAAACTGAGCTTGCAGATGAGGAAAACCAAACTTAAAGAGTCTAAATGGCCTCTCCAAGGTGAGATAGTTAATACATGTGCATAGTTGTAGTCCACTCTAAATAAGATTGTTGAATAAATACAGGAGTGGACAAGTCACATAAAACATAAGTCTTTACTCAGTTTTATTATTTCCCCTTATGCTACAGAAACTGCAACTTCCTGTGGAAACCACTGGAGAAGACAAACCATAGCTGACTATTGAGGCAGGGACCATTCTCCTTCAACTTCCAACTTCGCCTTCAATTATTTTAACAAATCAATTTGTAGGTCAGCTTACCTTAGAAGCATCCTTAAGCATTTGACATATTTTTGTACCACCTATACTTGACAGCACATGTATATTTTATTTCACTTGAAATTAATAAAGCGTGGAAAAAAGCACACACTCTGATGTCATTTATTATTGGGAATAAAACTGGCTCTACCACTTATTAGCTCTTATTAGGCCTCAAGTTTCCCAACTGTAAAGTAAGAGAACAATAGTCTCTACCTTATTGGGCAACTGTGAGAGTTAAATGAGATCGTCCCCGTGGGAAACTTAGTAAATTCTTCTGAATAATGTGCACTATTAGTAGGAATTATGTAATTTTTAATATAAGCAAAAGGCAGAGAAGAAAACTGTGATAAATGCCCCTGTGGAAAGAGGCTTGGTACATGCCAAGCCCTTCACAATGTGAATAATGATGATGATAGTGACAGTGGGGATTACTGTGGAGAGGATGATGAGGATGGTAATGATGATTTGTGCCTGTGATAGGCATGGTCAGGGCTTTGAAAAAAGCCTTAACTATACTTCTTATCAACTGTAAGCTGTGGAATATATCCTTCTTATTTACAACAAATGAATGAATGAATGGAGAAAAAAGAGCTTCTAACTCTCCTAGCACCTATTTCTGAAACAATTCTTTCTTACGCCTAGACATCAGGAATCTCTATTTCTTTCAAGAGACTGAAAAAATGTCTTCTGTTGAATTGGTAAAATCTCAAAACCAAGCAGCCAGGAATTTTTTTTTGAGAAGTTCCTAAGAAGAAAATAGGTCAGCATAATCTAAAGCAATATTTTCAAGCTGACAAATTGGTCTCTTTACATTCTTTGGCTGTACTTAATGTCAAATTTAAGAATAGTGTTCAAATGAAGGCGGTAACAATCAGCCCATGTCAACTTTGGGGCTTGGCTAGGTTCTGTGTCATATTTAAAGAGTGACATTGGCCCAGCAAGAAAACCTCAGACATTGATTGACCAGAATAGGAAAGGACTGGAAACCAGAATCCATAAAGAATGGTGAGAGAAATTGAAATGTTTCCCCTGTTAATAAAAGGGAGGGGTTAAAAAAAAGTAACTATCTCTTTTTACATTTTTAGAAGAGTGTCACATGGAGGAAGAAGGAAACTGAATCTCTGTGTCTCCAGAAGGCAGTTCTAGGACCAGTGCATGGGAATTTCAGGGAACAGATATGGGTTCATGTTAAGGAAAATCTTGCTAAGTGAGCTGCTCAATGCTGCTTTTAAAGGTAGGAAGAGGGCTATGTTTTATATTCAATATGCTCTTCATATTTTTTTGCCTTTTCCAGCTGGTTTATCTAAACAGTTATAATTCATGTTATAATCAGAGAAGAAAACCAATACATGCTATAACATAAAGGAAGATAAAACTAACATTTATTGAAGAGATATTATTTGCCCAGTGTTTGACATACATTACTGGATAAAACCAGTAATAAAGTTGGTTGGGGTATACACACGAAATTTTTTTTTTCTAACCGCTACCACCAGATATGTCATAGTAAGTCTTTTTATTATCATATTGTATTAACTTCTGAAGTGAGTGCTATGACTTTATAACTATTTTAAATTATTAAAAATTCAGTCTGGTACAGAGTTAACCCCCAAACTGATTAGTCACCCTCTTCCTTCTCCCAGTTCAAATTTGACCCATGGCTCCAGGGAATTGCAGGTGTGTGTATGTGGGGTGTTGTCCTTCTTCCTCTCCTTCTTGTTCTACCTCCTCAGGCGGAAAGGCTTATGGGAAATGAGGAAAAACATTTACATTTAACTGGGTCTGCAGTTGTATCTTCTCCTGGATGTTTCTACTCCTCCTCAGGCTAACACAAATTATTCTGTGTGGCAGGTTTCCACACAAAGGTGCTTTTGTAGGGGTCATGTATGAGTTCTTGCACAGTTTCATAATTGGAATATTCCATTCCTACTCAATTTTTCCCCCACAAAATATACATACAGCAATACCATAAGCAATATGCTTCAGCCTCTTGCAGTCCTGGTCCCCATGCCTGTGTGGAGTTGTTCTCTTGGGTGACACTGGCAAGGTAATTCAACCCAAGTCACCTTTCCTGGGGGCTCTTTATTCACAGGAAACTAACTTATTCTTACCACATCAAGTGGTGGACATAAACCTGTTGGAAATTTCCACTTTTTACTCCACCTTCTCCTTATAACTCTCTTTTATCTTGTTCAAAGAGACAGTGGGCAAATAAAGAATCTTCTGCATTAACAGTTGTCTCACTAGGGAATGAGATGCAAGTCTCTCCTTCTTGAAGGTGCTCCCATTCTTTAGCATTGATTCTCCTGGGGCCTCTCATTTCCTCTGGGATGAGGAGGAAAAATGAGCAGCCCTCCCCACACTAGGTCAACTCATCATGACTCATCATATTTGCTTTTCCACTTTATCATTTTCCTTCTTATATTCTGGGGGTGTGGGTGGTGGTAGCTAGTTGACCATCAGTGGTAGTAGAATTGTTTGCCTACTTCTTCCTCAGCCTAAGAGACACTCGCTTGTGGGTAGCCCTTTGGTTTCTCTTGCTCTATAATGTTGGAAATGTAATGCATATTTACTTCTGTTTGATGGCCTACTCTCCAGTCTGCGGACAACAAGAAAAATCCCATTTACTATCCATGGTACATACATGGTCCCATTTAATCCTCATGAAAAAATTATGAAGAAATACTGTTACCATTTTATTGACAAGGATATTGAGACTACAAAGGGCTAAGAAAGTACCTAATGCCACTGACACTAAGGGAAAAAGCAAGAGGTGAACCCAGGCTTGGCTGACTTCAAAGGTTATTCTTTATTCATTATACCAGAAGTGGCCACCTATGTAGCAGAGTTTAAAAACATGACCTTGGCTAAAAGCCCAGTTTTTACCAGGGCAAGTCATCTTCTTAGAGACTTAGGTCTCTCTTCTTCAAAATGGGTGATCAGTATGGTATCTACCCTCAGAGGTCCTTGGGAGGATTAAATATGATAATAAAACTCAAGTGCTTAGCTTGAAGCCTACACTTTATAAGTGCTCAATTAATGTTACTGATTGTGTCATGCAAAGGGGTCCTACATACATACTCCCTTTGTATAAAACTAAAATAGGATTTATACAGAATAAAACTTACAAGTGGAAAGGAAGCACACACAGACCTTGGGTTCTTATTCCATAGAGAGTTGACTCAGGCAGACAGCTCTATTGGGGACACCACAAAACGTATTCCAATAGATAAGAACCCTGACCCCATAAAACTGTTTCTGTACAAAGAGAGTAGGAAGAGGGGTCCTCTCAATGACTTCCTGCTTATAAAGTGAGGACTCTCCAAGTTTAACCTCTGGTATCAGACTGTTTTGGTAGAGCTCAGGAATGTTGAGATGGCTCTTGCAAAGCTAGAGAATAAGGAAATGAGCTTCTACAGCCATCTTAGATTTGTGTTTCCTTGGGGATTATTGCTATTGTTGCAGTTCTGTTTAAAATAGTAGTGATCCATGTGGCAATGGCAATAACAATAAACACAAAGTATTATACTCAGAGCTACTCACAGATAATGAGCTCCCTGCCCCTGGAAAAGGTCCATCTCAAGGCTAGATGGCCATCTTTCAGCCATCTGAGAAAGGATTCCAGCACTGGGTTAAAGGTTGAAGAGATGACCTGTAGGTTTCAATTCAAATTTGAATTTCTCTCAGTCTATGAGTGACTTGAATTGGTTACATGGATCCAAGCCTTCCTTCTTGGCTTAAACTACTCTATGCTATTTCCATTTTGAACCAGCAAAGTACCCCTACCCACAAGAGTCTCTAGCCCACCTGCACCACTGAATGGTAATGTTGACAAAGAAGAAAACCCCAGCTCATTCTTTGAGCCAAACATACCACATTGGTTTTTCTCTTCCCCGAATATGCAGACCGTTTATTTAGAGAGCCCAATGACTTAGATCTGGTTATATATTATTCCTAGTGGATATGTTTGCTCACATCCATGGGACTTCACTGTTGAAGAACTGTGAGATTATTGCCTACATTTTTCCAAATCATATTTAATATAGCTGCAAGCCAGGGTTTCGGTAGTGTGGCATAATCTCATCAGAATGATCAATTCCTTCTGTTCCAGAACCAACGGGCATTCAACCTTGCCTTAGAGAAATGCTAGCTGGAAGCCTTTGGATTCTCATATCACTATTTGTTACCAAAAAAAAGAAAAAATAAACACTGCTAGCCCAGACTCATACAGCCTTCATTTCCTTGGAAGTACAAAGACTTTTCAAGTTGGTTTAGCATAAACTTCTGGATGAACCACTGCATCTGTGAAAGTTAATGTCCTGTACTTTAGCCCAGATGAATAAATCCATCTCCTTATTGGCACCATGAAGACTTTCCATTTTTTTGAACATTTAAAGTTCCTTTTTTATGTATTGGGAGAATTTTTCAGCCAAGACTGCCTGATTTTTGAAACAGAGTTTTTGGGTGTTCACAGTTAAATGGAAAAGACAAAAAGAAAAATTTAAAATAATCAAGAGAAACAACAAAAAAAAAAAGGAAAGAAAGAAAGAGAAAGCCAATCAACCACAATAAAGAACATTTAAATTTATTTCTTTATGGACTAAATTTCCTCAAATATAGACAAAGCCAAGAAGTTGGAAGCTTGGTTTATTTTTTTATTTTTAAAATATTACTTTCTTTCAATTTATTTTTATATTGGTAGATGATGTGAGACTCATTACATTTTATAGGCCTGAACAAAATCTTACAATTTCTTACTAATATTATGCAATGACATAATGCCATTTGTAGAGGTGTCACATAAAGCAATTGACTTTTACTGGCTTCTTATGGCAGGGCTTGCCATTTTATATTCTGTTTTATGTAAGCGTTTTCCAAATTTATCGACCTCACAGGATTTCTCAAGTTGCTTAATTATGGTAGGAAGAAGATATCTCTGTGGTCTGACACAAGAGGCTATTAAAGTCTCCTTTAAAAAGGGAATCCGAGAAGTGGGGAGGTAAATGTGGCTAACATTTAATGCATGCCTACTATGGGCTGGATGCTGGGAGGTAGGGATAAAAGTACCTGGCACTGCCCTGAAAATACCATGCAACATATATTTATTTTTCTAATTTCACAGATGAGCAAACTGAGTCTCAGTTGCTATGTCCAGCATCACAGTAGGTACTAAGTAAATGGAGGCACCAAGATATCCACTCAGGTTTGACTTCAAGTCCATGCTATAGAATCACAAAGGACAGCAATGCTCATATCATGATGGATCAGCCTCTCAGAGGAAAACTCTGAAAGCAGGTAAATTCTTTACCCAGTGGATGAAGGCTCAGGAGGACCTCCCCAGTGGATTAAGAAATGGAGTCTGTCTTTTTCTTTTTACCTAGTGTTGCAGCCTTCACATCTGGATCAAGCACCATTTCTCTCTCTCTCTCTTTTTTAATACAGGGTCTGGCTCTATAGCCCATGCTGGAGTGCAGTGGTGAGATCTTGGCTCACTGCAACCTCTACCTCCCAGGCTCAAGACATCTTCCCACTTCAACCTCCCCCGTAGCTGGGACTACAGGCATGTGCCACCACACCTGGCTAATTTTTGTATTTTTAGTAGAGACAGGGTCTCACTTTGCTCCCCAGGCTGTTCTCAAACTCCTGAGCTCAAGAGATCCCCCGACCTCGGCCTCCCAAAATGCTGGGATTACAGCTGTGAGTCACCACGCCTGGCCCCAACCAGTAATTCTTAGGTAAGAGAGAGAGGTGCACCAGGGATGCTGGTAGGAAAAGGAATTCAAGTCCTACTAATAATACAATATTAATGCTCTCACAGATCTAAGAGAGCTCCTAATCAACATTTTATTTTCATTTTGGGGGTATTTGAGGCCCTAAAAGGGAAAATGAAGAGCTATTTGAAGTCTTGGCCAATAACTTCAATGATCCATTCTCTTCAATCAGAACCAGTGCTTGGCCACTAGAGAAAAAGTACATACAGTTACAAATTGATGGTCAAGTTGCCAACTGCCATTTATTGGGAAGTATCAATATGGTACTTCTGTCTCTGAGCTCACCATACTGGCTACTGGCACCATTGAGCTCATGAGTCAAGTTATGGTTCTACCTGACTAGTTATTTCACTGTTTTCTGAACATTTTCCTCATCCTTCGCTCTCTCACGGAATAATTTTCCTTGCTTCCAGTCTAAAATGAAGCAAAAATTAAGCCTCAAAGAAACTGTTTACCTCTGTGAGACAGTGTAGTGAATTCTTATAATTTTAAGTTGCCTCAGCATCCATTTTGAATACAAGTTTAAGTTTCTCATACCAAGAGCAGCAATCAATTGCCCTTGACACAGTTTCAAGTTCCACATGACACACAAATGGCTCAAGCTAGTGGCCAGAGATAAAACTTAGAGGCATCCCTCCTTCCTAGCAGGCTAGACCCCTCGCTTTCTGCACCTCCTGTAAATAGACTTTTAGGCATTTGCCTGCATACTTAAAGTGACCCACACCCTATTTCCTTATATATACTGCTAGTTGTCATGTGTTGTCTCTTTCTCTTCCTGAATTTTCATTTCTACCTCCCATGACCCATGACCTGGGGCCAGAAGACTGCCCTGCGAACTCATTGAGCACTCCCTGCCCAGAATCTGTAAGTAAAAATCTTTGAGGTTGTTTCCTATTGGTGGTGGTGGTACATTGAATTTGTGTCTTCCACCTGAAGAACTAGGAATTGTCCTAGGCTAGATTTTCCCCAAGATATTGGGGAGAACACAAGATCAGGCCCCCAGCACCACAGCGATGCTTAGGCAGGCATAAACTGGCCACAGGTCAGACAAGAGCACAAGGGCATCTGCCAACATAAACAAGTTTCCTGCATGAGAGACCCCTGGATCACAGGTTGGACAACTAGGTATTAGGCCACCCACCAGGCAAAGGAAGTATCCTGTGAAAGGAATGCTGTGAATACCCATGTGCAGCCACCCTTTATTTCCCATTAAGGTAGGGTTGCTAGCCGCTCTGGTACTAAAACCTCAGTTTAGTTGGGGCCTCTCAAAACAGAGAGGAAGATTCTAAAATTCTCAGATGCATACTTGTCACAATATAATCTCAGAGTCCTTGAGATTAGATAATTCTGAGATTGGGGGAAGGAAAAAGAGAAGATGGAAAAGTGATTTTGATAAGAGAAGGTAGGAGGGACTGGATAGGATTCCTTTAACTGGGAAGCAGAAAAAGCAACTTTCATCAGGGGCCAGGGAGCAAATGGTAGAAACACAGAACAAGCTACAACACAGAACAAACACAGAACAACCTTGAGTGTGGACACCACATCAGATGAATAACCTGCCCATTGACATTACTAGGCATGGTTAGCACCAGTCAACATGAATTGATGGGACAGAGACAGGGATGTTTGTCACCTTGATGGAGAAAGTGTCATGATGGAAAAACCTGGCAATGTGGGAGCAAACAACTGATTGCAATTCCCCTGAGAGTGGTGCGGGAATGACATACCAACACCATCCCATGTAATACGGGCTGCTTTCTTTTTCTCCTTCTTTTCTATTGTGAATGGGAGAGCAGTGTCATCCCCTGTGTATCTCCAGCCATCCATTAGAGCTTCTCATGTATAGCAGGCACTTGAAATAATTTGTTCAATGACAAAGCCAATATATGAAGTAATTTGTCCAAATTAACACAGTGAGTTTAATAATCTGACTAGGACCAAAAGCCAGGGCCTCAATTGAAGTCCAGTAGTTCTTCCAAATGTTTTCTGTCTTAACATACGCACAGAAGGATGGATGAATAAAACAGATAAAGGACAGAACTCTGATGGGAGGAGGGGTTACACAGAGCACAGTTTTAAATGCACGTTTTTATTCTGAGTTCTGATTCTGCCCAAGTAACAATGCCGTTCCTCTCAGTCAGTAACTGTGGCTTCCAGGAAGTATAACTGCTTGAGCACAGGACATTATTATTCAATTTACATCGACCAAGCAGAGACTGCCTGATGACATTGTAGATAGACGGTATTTGTGGCTTTGAGACTAATGATTTGAGTTTTTCTCCTAGTTTAGGTTTGTGTCCTTACGAGCATGTCAGAGCTGTGGTCAAATCTAAGTAGCTCCAATATCAGAGAGTAGAAGTAAGTTTTCCTTGAGTATTACAACAATGCCAGCCGGCCGCTGTGTTCAATTCCCAAAAATGAAAGAAATATTGGAGACCATCTAGTCTAGTGGTTTTCAGCTGAAGGTGATTGTTCTCTTCCAGAAGCCACTTGGCAATCTCTGGCGACATTTTTGATTGATAATTAGCTTGTCTTAGTGTGGACTGGTACAACAAATTACCATAGACTGGATGGTTTAAACAATAAAAATGTATTTCTCATAGTTCTGGAGGCTGGAAAATCCAAGATCAGGCTTCCAGCATTGTTGGGTTCTCGGGAGGCCTTCTTCCTGGTTTGCCGATTGCCATCTTCTTGCTGTGTCTTCACAAGGCAGAGAGCAGAGAGAGAGGAAGCAAGGCACTAATCTCATTATGAGAGTTCCACCCTCATGACCTAATCATCTCCCAAAAGCCTCATCTCCAAACACCATCACATTAGGGATTAGGGTTCAACATATGAATTTAGGGGGAACACAGGCTTTCAGTCTATAGCGCAGAGGATGCTCCTGGCATGTAGTGAGTAGTGGCCAGGGCTGCTGCTAAGTATCCCCCCATACACAGAACATCCTCCTGCTATAAAGAATTATCTGTCCCAAAATGTCAACAGTATTGCAGTCAAAAAGAACTTCTAATTCAGTTCATATTTTTCCCAAAGTAGAATTCGTCTACAGTGACCTTGATATGGAATTTTCCAGCTTCTGGTTGAATATGTCCAGAGATTTAGTACTAGCTCACTCTTTCACTACTGAATGCTAGCTTAGTTGCTTGTTTTTGGTGCCCCAGAATGCTGAATGCATATTATCACATTGTTTCATAATTACATGATTTTTGTGTCTCATCTATTACAGGATGAGCTCCTTGAAAAGCTAATCATATTTCATACTCATCTTTGCATTATCGGCTTCTGCATAATGCTTGGTACTGAAAATATCACTTAATAACTATTCGGTGAATAAACAAATGAAAGATGAGAAGTCTTTCATTTTAAGTTACATCCTATCTTTAGACTGGAAATCTCATGCTTATGTTCTACCCATTGAAAGTTTTCTCTTGGACTGGAGATGGAAGAGACAGACCACTTGTTGCACCACTCTATCTTGCCCTTTGCCTCAAGGCTGTCCTTGTGAGTTTGGGAACTATACATATTCTTAGTTTGAACTTTTCTCTCATTGGAAGTAAAACTTTCCATAAAAGTGCCAAAACTGGGGGCAAATGGAAAGCATTTTATCATCAACAAGTTTAATTTGCTGAGTGCTTTGCATTAAAATCACTGAAGTGAGTTGGGCTGGCCAATTCCCAAACTCTATTGCCAAACCGAGAGGCACTTTCTCATCCTTCCTTTAAATGGCAATGAGCCATTGGATCGCTGAACTTGGACCTATATTGGAAGGAAGAATAGAGTATGAAAACCAATTTTCCCATGGGGTTGAAAAGGCCAGAGTGACTTACCATACTTTTCCAACTCTAGTTTAAAGTCTGTAAATAATAATGTAACTCACATTTGTAAAGAGCTTATATAAGCCTTAGACATCTGTCCTATCTTTTTTAAAGAAAATATGGGAGCAAACAATTTCTTCTATTAAAACACTAATATATTGTGGCACAGAATGCAACACTGGCGTGATATTTTAAGATAGAATTATCTTCAAAGAAACTCTGCATTCGTGACGGAGTGCTTAGAGCTATATTTCCGGACCATTCTCTCACTTATGTTTGTAAGTGAAGTTAATGGAAAATTTGACATGATCTAGCACACATTTTCTCTTTTAATTTCACAGTTCATCTTTTTCCTCTTTCTGGAATTTTCTTTTACCCTCTCTCATTCATTCTTCAAACACACTCTTATTCTCTAAAGCTCAACTCAAATATCACTTTCTCTTTGAAGATTTGTTTGATTCCCCAAGCACTGGCTCCCTTTTCCAGGTTTCACCTGCTTATATTCAACCACTTCTCAAACTATGTTGTAATAGGCTGCTTAAATATCCTTCTTTCCTGATAGACAGGGATCTCCTAAAGGAAGGGGATCATATTTTATCTTCTACTTCTTTTATGGCATCCTTTCTATAGAAACAACCTGCAAGAACTTAACCTTATAATTTGGCCATAGTGAGAAACTTCTTTCTCAATATTCCCAAGACACTCTGATCATATTTATTTCTGATTTGTTTCTTTCGATTAATTAATTTTTACTTGATCAATATACATTTACTGAGGTTCTAGTGTTAATTAGGCCCTGTGGATGGTTATACAAATAATAAAGGACTGAAATATATGAAGCACCTCCCCTGTGCCAAACACCATGCTAGCATTTAATAAATATCTTCTTATTTAATTCCTACCACACCATGAGAGGTACTATTGTTACTAGTTTGCAGATAAGGAAACTAATGTCTATGTATTTAAGTCACTTGTTCAGGGTCACACAGATGATATTTATATTTTATGGAAGTTTTAATTTAACTGAGACAATATAACATGCACACACATGACACACAAACACAAGTACTTTTTTGGGAAAGAGTTATTTTTTATGTGCCGAAGCTGAAGCGTAGTAAAATGAACAGAAGTTTTGGGTTGTGTATCATGGTCTGTAACCCAATAGCGCATGACTAAATACCGGATACAATATGGTTTTCTTTCTACATCCATTCTCCATCAGAATACTCCCATCCCTGTGCCTCCTCATGGGTTCTGTGAGGCTGATCTCCAAGTACTGCATCTCTCAGGCTGTCCTGCTATCTGTTTTCTGTTGGGTTTGGGGAATAGGAAGCATCAGAGAAAGGTAAAGAATTCAAGGTATTCCTTCACCTTCCCCTAACTTCTTACAAACTACTGGGCCAGGCCTTAAAGAGCTCTCTTCTCTTGGGAGCTGGGTGGGAGAGTGTGGCTCTCTTATAAGCATAACTTTTACCAAGTTCTTATAATAGCTTCCTCCCCTTGTCCTTTCAGGCATGAGGGTGTTAATACTTCTTAGATAGAAACTTTCAGGAGCAGAGTACCTTCATTCAACTGTCTTCACATAGCCCACTGAGTGTGCCATCTACGTTGAGACAGAGACTGACACACCTTTGTCTGAGCCTCAATAGTCCCATCTGTTAAATGGGTATAGTAACATGTAATTCAGAGAAATTTTGCGAAGATAAATAATATATGTTAAAAGTACTTCGAAAACTTAAAAGTACCAACATTTGTAATCATAAACTTATTTTTCAGTTCTATAGAATTCATACTTTCATTTATCAAATATCTACTGAGGACCAATTATGAGTAAGACCCTATGCTAAATGCTGAGGAACTCTGTTGAGCAGAGATTTAATTAGAGGGGAAGAGACTCCTTTAGGGTAAGTGAGGGAGGAGAGAACTCAATAAAAATAAAGAGATGACCAGGTCCTTAAAGAATAGTATATTTTATAGGTGAAGTTGGGGAAGGGGGGATAAGGCATACTAGGGGAAGGGAAATGTGTGTGGGAATGTTTAGAGGTAGGGGAGAGAAAGGCATATTTGTCATGAGTGAGTAAACCATTTTCATGGGGGATAAGGCTGGGAATGCAGTGATTTTCAAGGTCTTTGTAAAGAGTAATTGCATCCTCTAGGATGAATAAGAGGAAAATGAATTCCAATATATCTTAATATCTTTTTCCTACTGTGGGATTTGCCCTGTGAAAAGCTCTGCATTGAAAAATAAGTGATCCAGTGGGATTTGGATGTCTTTACAGCATGATTCGATTGATTGTACTAATGGATTTTGCAGCAGATTGGATATTAAAATGGTCAAGAAAGGATTTGATTGAAAATCACTAATTTCGACCAACTGATACCTTTGTCAACAAACATTCATTGAACTTCTACTATGTAATATGCTCTTGGGCCCCAAGGAGGTTAAAAAGCAAACAAACAAATAAACAAAACCCAAAACTAAAGAAAAAACCAACCATTCATCGAAGTTCATCGACATGGGATCCTCCACATGCCCTTGCTTCTGCCATTCCCTGACATGTGCTTTTAGAATCAAGCACAGGGCATGAAACATATTTGGTAGATACACAATAGAAGTATATGTACACAATAGAAATGTATTTGGTTTATACACAATAGAAGTACATAATTTTTCCCTTTTAATCTAATACATAAATGAATGCCTCACTTAAGATATAATCTAGAGCAGAGCTACCCGATAGAACTTCTCTGTGATAAAAAAAAAAAATGTTCCACTTTGGTGCTGTCCAACAAGGGAGTAACTGGCTACACAGGGCTATTGAGAACTTGAAACAATGCAATTGAGGACTGAATTTTAAATTCTACTGAATATTTAATACAAATTTAAATTTAAACAGCCGCATTTTATTAGTGGCTGCTGTACTGAACAGTACAAGTCTAGAGAGAAGTGTTTTATAAATAGCAAATAAAACTCTTTCTCCCTGTCTTCATAACACTCCACAGTTGCTGAAGCTCTTTTCCAACCAGTCTAATTGCTATGTTTGAGCTATAATGTGGACTGAGGTTCTAGGAAATCTCCAATCACTCCTATCCTGTTGTTCCACGTTTAAAGTTCTGTTTAATCCATCTTTACTTATCTCTGTCCTGAAATGGTGAAATGGGGGTAGCAGAAGATGATTTCCCAATTGTAATCATTGTGATTTCTTGCATGTATTTACACCTGCTGCTATTAAAATACCACTGCCTTATTTAGTAGCCCCTGTAGTCATTCTAACTAATCACAAAAAGGCTTGGTTAGCCTTTAAGTATGCTCAGACATAGTTGCTGGGTGACTAGGCAAATGAACAAAAAGTTCAGAAGTTCAAAACAAAAAGTTCAAAGCCTTTTCAAAGTAAGCATCATAACATTATGCAACCTCAAACTGCCCACCATTGACACATCTCAGGGTCAGAACCTATATTGCACTGAAGCAAGCCTCAAAAAATCTAAGGAAAAGATATTATGTATCTAGTTTTTCTAGTCTTATTAAACTATTTTGTGGTTCTCTGCATATTCCACATTTTTCCATGTGACTACTTCTGTGCAAATTCTGTTTCTCTAGGCAGGGATACCCCTCATCTCCTTGGTTGACTGACAGACTTCAGTTCGGGTTGTGCTTCAAGAACCAGCACAAATGGCACCTCCTTTATTCAGTTATTTACCTGAACTCCCACAATAGAGTGAAATTTGCACATACCTTAATCAGAACAAATGGATTTCTGTAGATATTCCTTGGATTTGTTATGGATTTATGCTTGTGCATCATGAGCCTATTGAAGGTAGGGGCTGTGTTCTGTTAATCTTTTTTTTCCCAATACTTATCAAAGAGCTAAATAATGATTCATTCAAAGTTCATGGACAGAATAGATTGCAAGTTAGTTGTTGTTTCTATGTATTTATACAGTAATGAGTGATTGAAGTAATCCAGAAGAGATAGTCCCCAAATGTTTGGGTCATACACTAGAATATATTATATGATTTAAAAAATTTTGCCTTTTAAAATGTATTTTGTTGGGGATAATATTAAAATTTCTTCATTGGTAAGTAATAATACCTCGAGTCTCAAAGCTTTGAGCTCCAACTAATTTGATTAACCAGAAATACAGCTTTATTACTTACCCTTCTACAACTACCTGCCGTAGATTCTTACATTCAATTATTCTGGCTGAGTATTGCAGAGGAGACACGATTTTCTTATTTATTTATTTATTTATTTATTTATTTATTTATTTATTTTATTATTATTATACTTTAAGTTTTAGGGTACATGTGCACAATGTGCAGGTTAGTTACATATGTATACATGTGACATGCTGGTGTGCTGCACCCATTAACTCGTCATTTAGAATTAGGTATATCTCCTAAAGCTATCCCTCCCCGCTCCTCCCACCCCACAACAGTCCCCAGAGTGTGATGTTCTCCTTCCTGTGTCCATGTGTTCTCATTGTTCAATTCCCACCTATGAGTGAGAACATTCAGTGTTTGGTTTTTTGTTCTTGTGATAGTTTACTGAGAATGATGATTTCCAGTTTCATCCATGTCCCTACAAAGGACATGAACTCATCATTTTTTATGGCTGCATAGTATTCCAGGGTGTATATGTGCCACATTTTCTTAATCCAGTCTATCATTGTTGGACATTTGGGTTGGTTCCAAGTCTTTGCTATTGTGAATAGTGCTGCAATAAACATACGTGTGCATGTGTCTTTATAGCAGCATGATTTATAGTCCTTTGGGTATATACCCAGTAATGGGATGGCTGGGTCAAATGGTATTTCTAGTTCTAGATCCCTGAGGAATTGCCACACTGACTTCCACAAGGGTTGAACTAGTTTACAGTCCCACCAACAGTGTAAAAGTGTTCCTATTTCTCCACATCCTCTCCAGCATCTGTTGTTTCCTGACTTTTTAATGATTGCCATTCTAACTGGTGTGAGATGATATTTCATTGTGGTTTTGATTTGCATTTCTCTGATGGCCAGTGATGGTGAGCATTTTTTCATGTGTTTTTTGGCTGCATAAATGTCTTCTTTTGAGAAGTGTCTGTTCATGTCCTTCGCCCACTTTCCCACAATTGTCCATATAAAAAATCTACTACTAAAATGTAAATTCCATAAGAACAGATATTCTCTTTTTTGAGTTTTGATTGCTGACAAAAATCCATGATCTAGAACAGTACTTTGTACCTTTTAATCACTCAATACATAGCTTGTATTAAAATTAATTAATAAATATAACCAAAGTTTTCTGTATCTTTACAACTTTTCATTCCACCATCCTCTACAGTCACCATACCCTTTTTGGAATGGAGAGCCAACTCTTCCATTATCATGCTGCCACTCACAAATTGCTGCCTATGTCTTGGCCTGGGCCCTTCCTGACCTCCTCTAGACAACGGCACCCCATCTCTCTCAGGCAAGTGTTCATCCTCTTCTTACTTCTCCCCTGCATCTACCTCTGGGATTCCTTCACCGGGTCAACTCTTTCCATTTGACAAGGCCAGTTCTTCCAGTGGGGGCTTCTAAAATAGAGCTGATGTGCCCTAGTGACACTGTTTTCCTCTTCAAATGAGTCTTCTTCCCAGAATACACAGGTGACTCAAGTTAATGCTGGTAAGGGATGCTCTAGATGTGAGCATGCTCGAACAGAATCTGCTAGTGTAAGTGAAACCACAGCTGTCTCCAACAGTCAGTTTCCTTCTGCCAGGCTACTTCTCTTAGTGTGATTTTTCTCTCAGGAAACTTAATTTATTCTCCATCAGTTCAGCTGTCTTCACAAAGCTCCAGTTTAGTGTACAGCTATGGGTCTGGATTTAAGCTGTCTTTCATGAGGCTCCAGGGCCACATGCAAATCAAAACATGTGTTCGGATATCTGTTTGTGTTCTTTCCAAGTTTGGCCTTCTCAAAGAATTCAGGTTATCCCAAGTGTGGCTCATGGAGTAAAAGCATGCAGGGAGGTGAAATTGAAAGCCTTTGTAGGTGCTTAGTAAGAAAACCCATTATGTGGGCTGAGTTCAGAATTGGAGCGGCATGGGACCCATTACATTCCCCATTATAGTTTGTCATGAACCAAAGTCCAGAAATTAGAAGACAAGTTTACTGGATAGAAGCTTTCTACAATAGTGCCCAGAAATTTGCTGGGCTATTAGAGTCACTTAGGAGTCTTCAAAATACAAGCACATTTCTGGGACATACCAGGATCTCTTCATAGTTATGGAGCTTTATAGGTATCTCCCCATCCCCTGTGCTTTGGGAGCCTGGTCACAGAATGCCTCTAGGGTGGTGCCTCTTAACTCATACATATGGAACACATAGAAATTAATAATGCTTAATGTTTACATAGCACACTGGAATGAAGGAACACAGTAGGCTGCCCTGAAGCAACCACCCAAGGGGCCTTCAGCCACTCCAGAATCAATATGGCTTCCCAGCTTGCTGAGAGGATTACTCATAAATGACACTGCATAGGCCCACTAGGGAAACTTTGGTTTAAGGAAAGTGTGACCTAACTGAACCCCCCAGCTACTAAATATCAGATCTGAATAAAGCCACATTAGCTTCTTAGATCTGTATTCCCTGAATATTTCCTTAAAGAGAATGGAAGACAGTTGGAAAATAGTGGATGGAAGGTCACTCCAAAGTAAAGTGTTTTCCATGGATACATCCGCAAAAAGATAATTTGCATGAAGATAAATATATAATTGGAACTTATATGATAATACCTTATTTTAATAAGTGTTGCTCAAAAACTTCAAGTTCGAACTCCTTACCTTGGTATTCAAAGTTCTCCATGTTGGTGACTATTTTTCTAAATGTATCTCTTTCTTTTCCTTTTTAAATACCCTAAATTCCAGCTAAAAGAGCTTTCATGTATTTACCAATGGAATTTTGGTAGTTTTCAACAAATGTTTTGTTTTATGCTCAAACTTATTTCACTCCTACATTGCTCATCCTTCAAATTTCATTGTTCTCATTGAGAATTTTCTGATTTCTCCAGCCAGAAATCATCTTTCTGTCTTTTGAACTATTACAATCTCTTTTCTGGGCCTCTATTCTACTTCGCACATACTATGTTGTATTATAGCTATTTGCACATGATCTGGTCAGTCAGAATCAAACAGGCTTAGGTTTAAATTTAGTATTTTCCACTTTTTAGATGGATGACCTTGTAAATTTCCTGAGCTGTAATTTCTTACGCCTACATATGTTAAGTATAAAAATATCTACCCTGCTGTAAACCATTGGCAAAAAGGCCTCAATTTTCAAACCTGTATCTTTGCTCTTTGCACTGTGACTTTGTAGCTCATTCATCAATAGGCAGAGTCTGTTTCCCTACTCCCTGAGTTTAAACTGTTCTTGAGATTTGCTTTAGCCAACAGAATATGACAGATGTGAAAGGTTCCAGTTCTGAACATAGGCCCCTAGAGTCAAGAGACCTTGTGGACTCCCATTTGCTCTCCTAGAATCATGTTCAACTGTCATGTGAACAAGCCAAGGCTACCTTCCTAAAGCATGAGAGACCACATGGAGCAGAGATGAGCTGTCTCAATTGAGAATATTGTAGATCAGCCAGATCCCAGCTAATTCACCAGCAGATGTATGAGGGAACATAGCTGAAATGAGAAGAATCATCCACTATATATATGTATGTATGAATATACATATATATGTATGTATGATATACATATATATGTATGTATGAATATACATATATATGTATGTATGATATACATATATATGTATGTATGAATATACATATGTATGTATGATATACATATATATGTATGTATGAATATACATATGTATGTATGATATACATATATATGTATGTATGATATACATATATATGTATGTATGAATATACATATATATGTATGTATGAATATACGTGTATGTATGAATATACGTGTATGTATGAATATACGTGTATGTATGAATATACATGTATGTATGTATGAATATACATGTATGTATGTATGAATATACATATATATGTATGTATATTCTTATGCAAGCTAAAGTTTGGGAACCACCAACTAAAACAACCATATGCATGTATGTATGTATGTATGTATGTATGTATATACATATACCTACATGCATGCATACAAAGTCCAATATATATATTGGACTTACGAAGTATGCAAACTTGCATGCATACTACAAAGTCCAATATATATATTGGACTTTCAGTCCTCTGTGTGTATACACACACACGTGCGCGCGCGCGCATGCGCACGCACGCGTCTGTAAACACATACATACATATGGCTTTTTTAAGTTGGTGGTTTCCAAACTTTAGCTTGCATCAGAATCACTTCGGGTGTTTGTTACAATAGACCAATGAGCTCCCAGAGTTTCTGATTTAAAGGTCTCGCATGGAAGTTCCTAAATTTGCGCTTCCAGTAAATTCCCACGTGATGCTGATGCAGGTGGTCCGGGTACCACATTTTGAGAATGACTGTTTTAAGCTGCTAGATTTTGAAGTAGTTTGTTAATATAGCAAAAGATACCGATAAATAGGGATATCGTGAAGTTTAGTAATTACAAATTTAAATTTGTAATTTAGTAGACACTCAATAAATCTTATTATTGTTATCTGTTTTATCTCCTCAAGTAGCCTATAAGTTCCTCATGGAAAGGACTATTACACAGCTGAGTGCATCCTACTCTTATTATCAATTTGCCGTACCTTGCGTGTTGCAAACATATCTTTCAGTCCATTATATTCCATAAATAGCAAGCAGGTGTCATATGCAATCGCTGTGCTCTTTATCACTATTATGTCCTCACTCATAATTTGGAGACATTTCCTAAAGATAATTTAACACTATTTGATCAATTGTAAAATTCGTTCTTGCATCTATGTGTTTATGAACTTCTTTTAAAAAGAAGTCACAGAGGGTTAACGTTTTATAAAGTGGTGGCTGAAGATGTGTAGTGCTACAGTAGCTTAAGGAGTTGAGGATTCTGGCAAGGAAGTAGCCAAATAATCACCCAGGAAAAGAAAGAGAACTAAGGGGAGAATTAATAGACTGGAAAGAAATGGAAAGATTAATAAATTGGCGTTCTCTATAAGGTCTAAAGACAACTGTAGTGTTTATAAAGTGTAAGAAAAGATAAAAGGAGTGAGGTATTGTCAAAATGTAAACTGAGAATTTAAGACTTTGAGGGTGAACTTATTGAATGATGCCTGGGAATATGTGTTTTTAAAAGATCAAATGATTCTGCTATGCAACAAGTTTGGTAATGAATATTCTACAATATTATGCTCTTTACTGTCATCAAAATTCATGAAGACAAAGCAGATGATATCTACTTCTGCAAGGGCTGAAGAACTGATGCCGAGAACTTTACCCGTTACATCATTCAACGTTTCTTACAAAATCTCATGTAAAAAGCTTCTTTCCAATGTAGTGACAGAAAAAAAAGACACATTGGTCTTTCCTGAAGGATTGCTATATTTTTTTCTTTATGATGTTGAAGTTTATAAAATTCACCATTGTTACCTCTTCCTCCTGGCTGCCAAGAAGCCAAGAACTAAGCCCGAAGCTTAGCCATTTCTAGATTGTGTTAAGTACTCTTAAAGCCCCTTGTGAATACCTCTATATGACCATTTACACATTATATTTAAGTTATTCATTTAATATATTTTTCGTCATTTTACTGTAAGCTCCTAAAAGCAGAAACTGTATCTTTTACGTCAGTTCATCTATAGTAACTAGCCTGGTGCCTTGTATGCTGTAGGTTTTAGGAAAATTTTTGCTAAATTATAAACCAAATGGTGGTAATTATAAAGCTAATGGTCACTAGTTTTTCTGTTCCCTTCTTTCATGTGTTTTAATTTTATATTTTCACTTATTGATCTTATTGTACATGATTCACTGTTACGTATTAGGAGAAAATTCTTTTCTCTCCATTCCTTCTATTTTCTTTCAGGTGGAGATAGCCCTGTTAGTCTTATACTTCTGGCTTCTTTCTGTCAGTTTACTCAATATATCCTAAGGGAGGGTGAGCGACTTATTTGATTGGTAAATCTGGGGAGAATAAACCAGACATGCTCAGCCCAAATCCTCCATTTTTCTATTTTCACCTTTTAGGTCAGTTAGCTCTGGGTTTCTTTGATGAATTCCTTTTTATTCATCTATTCACACAGATCTAGTTTGGCCTCAGAAACCTCAACTCCCTTTGTAAATACATGTCTCACTTTTTCATTTCCCAGTATTTTAGTTTATCCACTGTTATTTCCAGAACAAGAAGATGTTTGCTGAATCCCCCATTTTCTCTTCACCTACAAAATGTCCTTCAATTACCTAATCTGCTGCTATAGCTCTTGCACTGTTTTTGAGCCAGACTATTTCCCAATAATAAAACATCACAAATATGCTTCTTCTATGAATTTTTTGTTTTGGATTTGTGGTAATTTTTCCTGCTTTCTCCATACAAGCAGAACTTGCATCTCTAAATTGATAGTAGCCTACATTCCTTCTAAATTGCTCATTAATTTATCGTTGGAATAAATAAAATATATTTTATTTCAAAGGATGAAGCCACACTGGATCTCCAATATTCATAAGCATAATTGGCAGTTGTTACAATGTAGAGCCTCAAAGATAATGTAAAATTAGACAAGACATGCAACTCTAGACTAGCCTTGGCTTGGTTCCAAGTGAGGGTCAATATTTATTATCTGAAGGCCTAAAATATCTCAGAATGGTATACAAACCTAGTTTACAAGCATGTTACATGGTATGAAACTAATCATTCTTCCAATGTTTGAATGTAGTGTGCAAAAGACCTATTAAATAAAAGGCAGCATGAAAAATAAATGAAAATAGTCCGAATCAAAGATTTCATGATCCCAGACTCAACACAATGGTCTTTTGGGAGTCGTTTAAACAGTATTTTCCTTTATATTAATAGCTCAACTTCTTAAACAATTAGTCAGCAGATAGGGGCCAAAACATATTGCCTCCCTTCTTTACTTTGATAAGACTAAGTTAGAGAATGTAGTTTATACATGGGAAGTAAACCTCCAATATTGATCCAGATTACATAGATTAACCCAGCTAGTTACAGTCATAGCCAAAAGTCTACAAGTCTTCTCTAATGGGACTGTCTCTCATTAAAATATGGCATATCAGAGCAGGGGAGAATGTATGCCTTCTGGAAGTTATGTGCCCCACGAAGAAAAATGGAGGAGCTGCACTGAGCATGACTAGTTCATGCTTCCAAATTTACCTATTATAAATGCATATGTGTCATTCTATTTTCTCTGCACTGGAGTTTGTAGAGAGAGAGAGTTCAAAAGCATTAGAGGAACTGAGTCCACGTTACTGAGGTCAGTCAATAAGCTTCATACAATAAATTTGAATGAATAAAAGGAAGAACAAGATAATTGAGAAGATCTCACTGGAAAAATGTATATTCAGATAGAAAAATCGTTGTAGAATTGCTAGGTATCACCCTTAAAATAGTGTTTTAAGCACCAAAATTTTTAAAAAGTATTATCTTTAGGGGTTGTGGCTAAATTTACTTTTCAACACCTCTACTAAGCTCTAGGCCTGCCTGAGAGTAGCTGAACAGTAGCAGTATGGTCAATATGCACCCACACCAAGCAGTGCTCACATGATTATAAATTTAGAATTGTGCAATGAAGTACCACGGTATTACAAGAATAATGACAATAGGGGCTCACATTTAAGAGCCCCCTTCCTGTGTGCCACAAATGTGCTAACTGATTACATATTACCATGTTTGATCTTCAAAATAATTCTATGAGTTAGATATCAATATTCCTATCTATAATCAGGGAAAACAACGCTAAGCAACATACCACAGCTCATAAAGCTGAAAGCAGCAAAGTCAGTATTTGACCCCAGATTGACTGACTATGAACCCTGTGTTCTTTTGCATATGCCAAAGTAAACACATCTGTAAATATTATGGGACTGGATTACGAGAACTCTAGGACCTTCTGACTTTCTATGTTTCTGTGGCCCGACAGTGTGAAAAGCTCCTGCTAGTTAAACGCTACCCCAGATCATCGTTTTTCTTCTTTCCTCTTTTCATTCTTTTCTGTTTCTCTTCTGTTTGAGAGTTCCAGTGGGCTAATTGGAAAGATCTTGCATAAATACAGTAAAAGTCATTATGAGGTTATCCAAAGGACAAAATGGGGAGGGAAGGTATGGTACAAGTGGAAAATTGTTGTAAGTTTGAATTACAACGTGGTTGGATCTGCTCAGGGCTTAGCAGAGGAAGACATTATATTGCTAGGACATTGCTAGGTTTTACTTTAAGTTTACTTTAAATTCTAAGATACAAAGAAGGCTTTAACTTAAAAATGGAAGATAAATATTTCACAAATATGTTCTTATATCTCATAATTTGAAAGATTAATCTCTGAAGAAACTATGGAGAATACTGATCATCATCATCGTAAGAAATATTCCTGGCAATTCTTAAAACACAGTTGTATTCCCCCAGTTTAAGTAGTATTATGCTGGAAAGAGGAGCTGGACTTTCAACGTAAATATTTGTATTTTACTGTGTAAAATAGGATATATTGGTTGGTCTCTCTGAGCATCAACTTCTTCATCTATTCAAAAGTCCAAAATCAAATCCATTTTACAAATATTGTGAGTGAGCAAGAAATAATAATGCAGATTTAAGTGCCTAGCTCAAGGATGGACCTCTAGCAGATATTAACAACCGATGGATTATATTTAAATCAATAGAGATATATTATTACATTTTCTTCAAAATCCCAGATAACTTTCTTGACAATTGTCATAACCTTGTAAAAGGCTTAAGATGATTTCTATTTATTCAATTATGCATTTACCAACTGTTTTAGGGTGCCTACAGTTTGCCAGGTGCTGTGTTAGGCTCTACAGAGGTAGAAATTAAAGGAATGTTTTCAGTTTGCTTATGATCAAGTAGGGAAGAGACAAGAAAATAGATAATTACAAACATCATCATGAAACATTGTAGGGTAGATGAAATGTCCCATAAATGACTCCTAACTGTAAAATAAAAATAATCCTATATCTAACCAGATTGGTCCATGGAGTTCTTTCGCAACTCGTTAACTTTCTACTTCTCAACAAATCACTTTGCTCTGATATGTGGCTCTGATTCTTATAAATTGAAGATATTTGTAGTATTGAAATGCACACTGGACTTGGGAACAAAATAACTAAATTTCAGATCTGGGTTTGTCATTTAGCCATTGCCTGATTGGGCAAGTCAAGATACATATATGAATGTTAGTTCTCCCCTCTGTGTATGTGTTTATCCCTGTGTGTATACGAATTAAACAACAGAATTTTTCATTTTTATGTAACATTGCAAAATAATCAAATGGTTTAGCAATTGTAAAAAGAGCAAGAAAAATCTAGATTTTTCCACACATAGCAACTAAACTAAATGATCACTGAAAGTCACAAGTTGAATATATGCAGCATTATTTAATGCCAAATGAGGGCCTGCCTCTGCCTCCTGCATCCAGTGAGGTTTCAGGAAGGGAGGGCTAATACGAGGTATGTATATTGACACCCCTACAGTTTGCATAGCTCTCTGACCATACATCCCTCCCCTACTGAGTTCAAATAAAGTTTCAAAATCATTTTCTCAATGTTTTTGCTCTAGGTAGTCACTACCAATCTATCAGAGTTGGCTCTCAAGTTGAAACTTACTTGTCATTCCAGATTCATAATCAGACTGTGACAAAGAGTCTCTCTGGCATGGCTTCTGATGTCTTTTTTAAATTAATTAATGCTTGGAATGTTGAAGTCAGCTAGAGGAAATATCAAGAACAGGAAGATTTCACACATTCATTCCAAAAACTTTCAGAAATTCATATAATTAAATGCATACGATGACCAAAGCACTTGGTGTCTACGAGTTTCCTTGTAGCTACTGAGCTGCATCTACAAGCTTCCTCAGTTCTCTGTGAGTTTTCATGACAACTCCTGCTATCTATAGCTATCTGCATCTGTCTTTCTAATATATAGGGGGGAAAGTCACTCTTAATAGCTTAGTCTTTGAGACTACATTTTGTATATCGTAAATTTTGTATATTGACTTTATGTTACATATGTTTAGGCTCGTTAACATTTATTTTTAGGCATTTCATATTGTTGATGTTATTGTAATTGTATCATTTTTATTTTAATTTTCATTATTTGTGGCTAGTGCATTAGTCAGTTTGGGCTATCATAATAAGATACCATACACTACGTGGCTTAAATAATGGAAATTTATTTACTCACAGTTCTGGAAGGTAGAAGTCCAAAATCAAGGTGCTAGCAGGATTAGTGTCTGGTGAGGCTTTTTTTTTTCCTGGCTTAAAGATGGCCACCTTCTCACTGTGTCCTCATGTGGCCTTTCCTCAGTGTACTCATGAGGGGGAGGGGAAGAGATATCCCTCCGGTATCTCTTCCTCTTCTTATAAGGACACCTGTTCTATTGGAGTAAGGCCAATTATGACCTCACTTAAACTTTATTACCCCAAGCACCCCTTTCTCCAAATACAGCCACATTGAAGGCCAGGGTTTCAACATATGAGTTTTAAGGGGACGGAATTCAATCCATAACAGCTGGTATACAAAAATAAAATTACTTCTTATATGCAGTAGTTCTCCTTTCCTCATAGGTTTGCTTTCCTCAGTTTCAGTTAGCTGTGGTCAACCTTGGTCTGAAAATAGGTGCATATAGTAACAATAGGATAGTTAGAGAGAGAGAGGGTCACATTCACATGACTTTTATTACAGTATATTACAATATATTGGCATAATTGTTCTATTTTATTATTAATTATTGCTGTTAATCTTTTACTCTGCACAATTCACTAAATTTCATCGTATGTATGTTTAGGAAAATATATTAGGCAGGGCACGGTGGCTCAAGCCTGTGATCCCAGCACTTTAGGAGGCCGAGATAGGTGGATCACCTGAGGTCAGGAGTTCGAGACCAGCCTGGCCAACATGACGAAACCACGTCTCTACTAAAAATACAAAAATTAGCCTGGCATGGTGGCAGGTGCCTGTAATCCCAGCTACTCAGGAGGCTGAGGCTGGAGAATCACTTGAATCCAGGAGGAGGAGTTTGGAATAAGCCAAGATCACACCACTGCACTCCAGCCTAGGAGACAGAGCGAAACTCCGTCTCAAAAAAAAAAAAAAAAAGGAAAAATATGTTGTATATTTAGGGTTTGGTACTATTCATGATTGTAGGCATCCACTTGGGGTTTTGAAACTTATCCCCTGCAAATAGGAGGAAACTATTGTTTCTGACTTGATATGAAGCCTTGCTAAACACGCATATTAGTTTTAGTAGCATTTTTGTAGATTACTTAGAATTTTTTACTTAGACCACTTTTTGATGGGGTTGTTTGTTTTTTTCTTGTAAATTTGTTTGAGTTCATTGTAGATTCTGGATATTAGCCCTTTGTCAGATGAGTAGGTTGCGAAAATTTTCTCCCATGTTGTAGGTTGCCTGTTCACTCTGATGGTAGTTTCTTTTGCTGTGCAGAAGCTCTTGAGTTTAATTAGATCCCATTTGTCAATTTTGGCTTTTGTTGCCATTGCTTTTGGTGTTTTGGACATGAAGTCCTTGCCCACGCAGACACTTCTCAAAAGAAGACATTTATGCAGCCAAAAAACACATGAAGAAATGCTCATCATCACTGGCCATCAGAGAAATGCAAATCAAAACCACTATGAGATATCATCTCACACCAGTTAGAATGGCAATCATTAAAAAGTCAGGAAACAACAGGTGCTGGAGAGGATGTGGAGAAATAGGAACACTTTTACACTGTTGGTGGGACTGTAAACTAGTTCAACCATTGTGGAAGTCAGTGTGGCGATTCCTCAGGGATCTAGAACTAGAAATACCATTTGACCCAGCCATCCCATTACTGGGTATATACCCAAAGGACTATAAATCATGCTGCTATAAAGACACATGCACACGTATGTTTATTGCGGCACTATTCATAATAGCAAAGACTTGGAACCAACCCAAATGTCCAACAATGATAGACTGGATTAAGAAAATGTGGCACATATACACCATGGAATACTATGCAGCCATAAAAAACGATGAGTTCATGTCCTTTGTAGGGACATGGATGAAATTGGAAACCATCATTCTCAGTAAACTATCGCAAGAACAAAAAACCAAACACCGCATATTCTCACTCATAGGTGGGAATTGAACAATGAGATCACATGGACACAGGAAGGGGAATATCACACTCTGGGGACTGTGGTGGGGTCGGGGGAGGGGGGAGGGATAGCATTGGGAGATATACCTAATGCTAGATGACACGTTAGTGGGTGCAGCGCACCAGCGTGGCACATGTATACATATGTAACTAACCTGCACAATGTGCACATGTACCCTAAAACTTAGAGTATAATAAAAAAAAAAAATTTTAAAAAAAAAAAAAAGAATTTTTTACTTAGACAACCAGGCTGTCTGCAAATAGAGTTTTGCTTCTTTCTCTTCAATCTGAATGGGTTTCATTTCTTGTCCGACCTTCTTGCATTGGCTAATACCTTCATAGGACATTGAAGTGGTGAGATTGGACAGCCTTACACTTGAGCTTAAGAAAAAAGGCTTCAGTTTTTCCCCACCAATTGTGATGTTAGCAGAAGGTTTTTCAAGATGCCCTTAATCAGGTTGAAGTTGAGGAAAATCCCATTGATTATTAGTATGCCAGGAATTGTTAATAAGCTCCTTGAAGACACTTTGTCTCTTTCTCTTCATAATAATTGCACCAAGCAATCTCTTGCACATAGTAGGCATTCAATAAATAATTATGAATTATATTGAGAGGAAATTGATGAAATTTCATCAATTCTTTTGAAGAATCTAAAAGGGAAATATATTTTTGAAAAAACAAAGTCTGGACACATGACTCAACACATAGTCATTTTTTGCCTCATGATGAAAAGAATGCTTTATTTCTGTAATTTTTATTTGGTGCAGAGCTAGATATACAAGATTTGTGTGTGTATGTGTGTGTGTGTGAGAGAGAGAGAGAGATTGTCTTGTAAATGTAATTGCACTAAATGAATTGCATAAAGACTATTGCATTCTAGAAATGCAAAATAATATCAACAGACTGAATGAAACAATGGTATCAAAGACCACAATATATAACTTACCTATTTATAATCCAGTCCATCATATAATAATAACCTACATATAACCATCCGTATTTAATCTGGTCCTTTTAGAATTTTGAAATGCTCTCTAGAATTGCCTTTTTTTCTACTTCAATGAGAAATATGTGTGATTTGTTCAGCTGCTGTCTCTCTGCCATCCCCACCCCCAGCACTGTGCAACACAGCCCCTTCTCTCAGCTGGCAAGCACAGGCCCCAGATGCCAAGCTGTGGAAGATATTTATCTGCTGCATCTGGTTCCTTAGCAGATTCGACAGGCCTCTGTGCTGGCAGCTTCAGAAATGCCTTTGGGCTTGTCACATGTTGAAAACTCCCAACTGGCTGTCTGAATTGGCAACCATGCTTTGGCTCACTGGAGAGAAGAGAGAAATGGTGCTTTTTGTCCATCTACTGATAACCTCTCATGTAAGTGATCGTTGGCTTCTGATCTGAAAAAGTACGTTCCCAAAGGGCAGTGCAGACTTTGGGGCTTAATTTCATCCTCCTGATACAAACTCACAAGTAGTATATGACTGAGTTTTGTTTCCTTGGCCAGAGAGGAAATCCCTAGCAATTTGGACCTCAGCATGTCTATCCTGAAATTAAATTCAGAAAGCGTCAGCATTTTAGAATTGGCATTTTAAAATTAAGAGTCAGCTAATCCATCCCCTTTATTTATCTGATGAAGAAACTCAGGCTCTGAAAGGCGAAGGGATTTGGCCAGGGTACACAGCAAGCAGGACAAAGGACGAGATTCACCCTGGGTGAATACTGGGAGTGGGGAAATACGAAAGCAAAAAGGAGCAGGTATTTCTGTTTGGAGAAGCTGTGGAGAAGGAACCCTTTGGAGACTGCATGGCAGGCTGTAGCAGAGCAGCGAGCCTGCAGACAGGGACACTTATGCCCTAAGGCTGATGCTGCCACATCCAAGCTAAGTGACCTTATGTAAGTGACCTAACCTCTAGGCCTGAGTTCCAACACCTGAAAACAAGAAGGAGTTAACCATAGTTCCTAATTTATTTGATTGTTGTGAGGATGAAATTAGATCACGCATAATGTACCTTACAAGGCTATGCTCATTTTTTTCAGTAAATGTTTATTGAGAGCTTACCATGTGGTAGACATTATTCAAAAGACTTGATAAATAATGATTCTCAATCATTTGGGACATGAAATCAGTAAATGAGGGCAGACCTGTAAAACCAGGACAAGAGAGTGAATTTCCGGAGTGGTTTCCTGTCGAGAGGCACGCAGACAGCGAGTGTGTTCTTACACATACACACAATGCATCTACGGCCGCAGCATTTGTTCTAATTCCCTGAGCTGCAGTGAGCTCTGGATTCCAGCAGGGGACATCCATAGCCCAGACAAGGGAAACTGGGGCCAGCTCAGCCTTAGAGGTGATGAATGAAAATGATAAATCACTCAGACATGAGCCTGAGACTGGCCTGTTCTGATACTCATTCCATAAAGACGAAAGTTCTGGAAGGGATGACCCTCACAGGCTTCGTTAGCTCTGAGTTTGTAGAATGTCAATGAATTTCAAGTTCTCTTAATCCTGAATTTGCAAGCTGAGGTCCCGTGGAGTTTTGTCCATGTTAAAGGGACATAATTCCTTTCTCCCCAGGGCAGATCAAAGGAACCAGGTTTTGATGACTTACAGCTCACACAAGGTCATCCTGGGAAAACAGATCCTGAGAAGTACTGCAGAGCTTGTGAAGTACTGCACTGGCTGGTGTCTGGATTCTAGAGTTTATGATCTGCTCCAAAGCCAGAGAGGTGATGACTAGAAGGTAGATATGAATTGGGGACAGTGGTGTGCTGATAAATATTTAACAACCAGCTCCCTGGGGGAAAAATATGTGCATATGTACATGTACATAAGTTTATTATACATTTCACTCATATACAGGACAAGTAGCACACAATTTACATGTTATATATATAAAATATACAATAATCTTTATTATAAATTCCATATAGCTAATTGATTCTCATAGAATACATTAGTTAATTTCTGTTGAACTCTTGTATTCATGGCCAAGCTATTATTGCAATCCAACCATTATTTGACAATATCAGCCTGCAAATAAACGTTTAAATACTGTCTGGTTCAGCAAAAATGTCTCTTACTTCACTGATCAACAAGTGTGATTGTGAAATGAATGGTGCTTGATATTTTCATTTATGTTAACTGGGAGCAAAAAAGTGAATGGACAAAGGCATATATTAAAACTTCACTTGTTTGTTAATGGTATTAGCCGAATCTTTGTTAAATTCACTAATAGTGTTAAATCCACTAATACTGAAAAATATTTCCTGTTATTTATGTTGTTTATGACTCAATAGTCACAGACAGAATACAGCATTATTAACCTATCAAGTCTAGCGAAATCATCAAAACAATACATCAAGCCCTGACTTACAGCATTTGCCAATTTTCATGGTATAAATATTTCCACCATGGTTGATTTCAAAATCAAGGTAATGTCATTGAACACGAAATTGAAAAGAGATTCATAGTAGTATATCATTACATAACGTTTCTACCATATGCTTAAAATAGACATAACCTCAAAAACTTAATAAAATATAGTAAATTAATTATGAAGTTATGGATTTTAAAATGTTTTCATTGTTACATATTTGTATATACTTATGGGGTACATGTGTAGAAAGTGATGGATTTTATTTACTTTCTTATTCACAAAACCTAGAGAATAATCAATCTTATTTTAAAAATATCTACCTTACATAGTGTTTAAAACACAGTAACATTTGTTGCATAATAATTATAATTATAAAGGAGGGGAAAAAAACAAGAGCCAGGTGAGCATCTAAAAAACAACTTTATCTAAAATGTTAAAAAAATTATGGAGAAATTATCATATACAAGTCACTGTCCTAAAACCTTTATATGAATTAAATTATATAATCATCACATTGATTATAAGGGGCATATATTATTTCCCCCAGATGAGAGTCTCTATCTAACAGATTAGAATATAAGTCTCAGCGGAGTAAAGTGACTTGCTCAAGTACATCCAGCTAGCAAACAGTAAGGCCAGGATAAGAAAACAATCTGACTTTAAGGATTGTGCAACAAACAAGATATCAGCAGTTAACAAAATGTTGGTCTGGAAAAATAAAATAAAATAGCAATTGGTCTGGGAGGAAGCCTGAACTTGAAAGTGACATCTACCCTTGGTTCTGCTGTATGAATTTGAACAAATCATATCACTTATCTGAACTTGCTACATAAATAAAGCTGGATTTTTGTGAGTCTATGAAATGTACCCTATTCCATTTTAAAGCTGTGATGCTAGGGGCAGAATGGATTGCTAAAGAAGATGGTGTGATCTGGCTGCTAGTAACATCACAAATAACAACAGCTCATATGATGGAATGATATTTGGAATTAACCACTGTGTCCAATTCTTATTTACCATATCTCCCTTGGTAGGGTAAATAAGAATTACCATTCTTCCTGTATTCCTCATCCCAAAGCAAGTTTTTAGATCAGAAGCAGAGTACCATATGAGAAATTTTTTGTTGTTCAATTTAAAGATCTATGGTCAAGGTGTTAGGAGCAAGAGATCTGTTCCTTCCCTTGACTATCTGAAGGTTCCACAGTAAAGCTGATAATCAGGCAGGCATAGAGTCTACAAAGGGAGAATGCTGACTCATTGGGAGCAAATGTCCTGCAGCTGCTGGTGCCAGGGAGCAGCACAAGGCCATGGAAGGCCTTTCTGGGATAGCAGATTTTCTGTTTGAGAAAGCACGGTACATCGCTTGGAAAATTAGGTGATCCTTCTCACTGTAGCCTGATAAGGATGACCTGCTGACTATATCTAGATCATTGCCCATTGCCCAGCAACATGTCAGTTCCCTGTCTCTCCGTCCCATGGAGAGTTTTCCACCCATTTTCAATGGTCCAGAGCACTGTTAAGCCTCTGGAATCTGTTGTGGGGCCCTGGACATAGAAGGATGAGTCAACTTGCTAGGGCAAAGGAGAACTGGACCAGAGAAACTGAAGCTCTATTAGGAGCTCAGACACCAGTGGGACACATCTCCCACCCTCCTCTTATCTAGCACTCTGTGCACTCATATTATACACATCCCTTGAGATGTATTTGATCCCATTGGGACTCTGGACATACCTCTATCACAGCACTTTTTACTTTGTGTGCTTTCTTCCCATAGAATGTGGGCTACTTCAGAGAACTATTTGTGTCTTACTTCATGTTGTATCTGTAGAACTCAGTATAGCAACTAGAATAAAGAAGGTGCTGAAAGAAAATAACAAAACTGTAGAATGAATGAATAAACTCTAAGGGGAAGGAAGTATTAATAGGATACTCGGTTAACAGATGAGGAAATTGAAGCACAAAGAAGATGTGAATTGCCCCACAGTGGCTAATTTGAGTCAAAGAATGTCCAGAATCTCAAATATATGATTCCCTTTCCAATACTCATTTTTTTGACACACTGTTAACTCAGTGAGTTGAGGTCAGTTAAATCATTCTAATTTATACTCTTATTTTTACTTCACAAGTTTCTCAATTCTGAAGTATGGCAGAATTTGACAAGTTTTTTTTTTAATGATAAGGCTGAAACCATAATTTTTAGGCAAGAATTCTGGAAACCAGAGGGAGAAAGCTATTCAACAAAGATGAATAAAAAGATTTAAATAGTTGTTTTTTGCTTTGTTTTGTTTTGTTTTGTTTTGCCAAGAATGTGCGTAGGTGGCTTGAGGATGGGCACTGGTGAGTGTGGGCAGGCAGGGCTTGTGCACATGCACATGTGTGTGTGGTGTGTGTGTACCTTGGGTTATTAGAAAAAGAAAGTATGGGGTACGGCGGTTGGTACTTCTATTCTTCCAGGCCCGTGAAAAATCTTTTGATCAAGATAAAGTGCTCCAGTTATTAGTCCTTGAAGCTCAACAAATAGGCCTCTCCATTCTAATTTTAAATCACAACATGTCTGTTGTGAATCTAGGCTCATGTTCCTGTATCTGCAGATGCACTTGAGAATTCATTTACCATGTCTTCATGTTTCTAAAAAGGTCTACATTTAAACTCTTCTGGACAGAGGAGAAAAACTATTATGTTAAAGTACTTCCAAGGATGAGTCCATGGGAAAAAAATGGTGTCTACAAATTTCTTGTGGCTCAATATCTATAACTATGCCAGGCAATTCTCTTTTATTTGTTAAAATGCTGGCTGAAGGCCTGTATAGCAGAAAGTGGCATGGAAGACAGATTGGGGTTTCTCTGGTGTTTGAAGACAATGCTGCACATCCCAGGTCAGTCATTTAGTTGGCTGTGTTATGACCTTGACCAGGATGTTTCCATTCTTTGAGCCAAAAAATTCATACTTGGATGAAAAAAATAGTAATAATATCTAACATTTATTGGGTGCTTTCTTGACCTAAACATTATGCTAGCCTTTCTACATCTTATTTAATCCCCATCCCAAGCCTACGAAGTCGTTAAAATCCTCACCATTTTATATATGAAGAAACTGAAGAGTTTGACTCACTTACCCAAAGTCACATAGTAAGTTACAAGCCCAGGCCTTGCTCCAAGGTCTCTCTGGCTGCAGGATTCTAGTATTTATTCTTACCACATTTCAATACTAGTCTAGAATGTCAGACTGCAGACTCTAAGCAACATGTTTAAGTGTGTTGAAGAAAGTGTCCACAGGCATTAAAACAGGAAAACTGTAATTGGCTATCTGTGTGTTTTTAAAAATTAGATAAATTATTTGAGTGTTAATTCCTTATGTGCGTAACATTTAATGATATCTATCTCATAAAGCTGAAGGATTAAATGAGAAAATAGGTAAATGCCTAATTTATAATATTTCATAATATATAATTCCTGTGCATATTCTAAGTTCCAAATATTGCATTTTGGTGTATTTATTTTGGTCACCCTGTCACTAGAACTAGAGAATAAAAGTTGTCCAGGAACTAAGGCCACTGCTTCCAACCTCTTCTCTCCAGCCTTGTCACCTGTCTGGTACAAACATGAGTTCTCTGTGATTTACTTCCAGAGCCTTTACATATTCAATTTTCTTACCTGTGCATGCAGTTGCATACTTTCACTAAGGAGGAAGTGCTGTGGAAGAAATGCATTTTGATTGTAAAAACATAAGCCCCAAGACGATGGGCTGGAAAGTAGAGTTATGAGGAAGAAACAAAATTGTCCTTGTTAATAAACTAAGAAAAATGTTGTGGTTTTCCAGGTTACGTAAAAAAGAAAGAAAGAAAAAAGAAAGAGGGAGAGAGAAAGAAAGAGATAAGAAAGAAAGCAAGAAAGCAAGAAAGAAAAGAAAGAAAGGAAAGAGAAAAACATGGAAGGGTTAAGTAAGTGCATGTGAAAAAAATATTCTGTAGAGATAGAGAAAGTCAAAATTTTTGAGCTAGAGGCTTAAGAGTGAAATATAGTCAATGAGAAATCCTCATTGTTGGGAAGGGCTGAATGGCTTTAAAAATTGAGATATTTTATTTCAATTTAAGATGATGGCACAGACCAAACATTTCTTTTACTGCTTATCCCACTTAGATTAAAACACCTAAGTTTGAAAAGGAACAAAGTCATTACAGGAGAGCAAAATGAAATAAGATATTTCAACAAATTTCTGAGTCAAAAAAATTAAGAGAAGTTTGGTGAATATTGCAAATGGAAATGCTGCTGCTTGCAATATAGTACTCTGGGAATACAAATGAAGTAGTATCTAGACTGGCCAGGTGATCGCCAAGCATATTTCTACTTCCTGGCATGTTGGAATATTTTGTTTCTCTCGTTTTTGGTGAGATTGGCTGAGTTCTGGCCAAGAGAGTGTGGGCAGAAGTGAGGTTTGCCACTTTCCAGCCTGGCCCTGAAGCACCCTGAGCAATCCTTCATGGGTTCTCTTTTTTGCCCACTTTCTAAGTGCAGAAAATCCTGGAGATCCTGGATGTGGAGGAGCCACATGATGGAAGGAATGTGGATCCAATCACTCTTGGAGAAGAGCCACTGACTGGAATTGGACTGTGAGGTGAACAGCTATCGATGTTTACTTTGTTTAGCCACTGGGATTTTATAAACAGCTAGTGATATGATTTGGCTCTGTGTCCCCATCCAAACGTCATCTCAAGTTGTAATCCTCATGTGTCAAGGGAGGGAAGTGATTAGATTATAGGGGTGTTTTCCCCATGCTGTTCTCATAATACTGAGTAAATTCTCACGAGATCTGATGGTTTTATAAATAGTAGTTTTTCCTGCACTAACCCACACTCTCTCTTGCCTGCCACCATGTAAGACATGCCTGCTTCCTCTTCCGCCATGATTATAAGTTTCCTTAGGCCTCCCAGCCATGCAGAACTGTGAGTCAATTAAACCTCTTTCCTTTATAAATTACCTACTCTTGGGTAATATCTTTATAGCAGTGTGAGAATGACTAATATAGCTAGCATGGATACTCTAACATAAAGTGGGAGCCATTCTGTCTATCAGCAGCCCCGAAGGTCTGGATCATAAGTTAGAAGAGGATGGGAGAGGTGTGGCTGACAATATGGGTATTGTTAAGGTCTTTAAATGGCAGCAGGGAGGAGGAATATGCAGTAAGACAAACTGCTCCTTGTCCTCCTCCTCCTACTCCTACTCCTTCTGTCTCTGAAAAGAGCATAGACAACTGCATTTCTCACTTTCAAAATGCTAGACAGTACTTCTCTAAAGAAACAGAGTAGAATGTTAGGAGAAAGCTTTATGCATTGACATCTCAGTACAATGCTGTCCTCATTGAGGTGTTTGCTGTGGTTGGAAGGTAGAGGGGGTTCTGCAGGCCAAAGCCAGGTTCCACATCATCTGAGAGAGAAGCTGGCCATCTGGTAGCCCTGCACTGCCTCTCAGAATGTCAGTCCAAAAATTCTGCTCAGCTGAGACACCTAGTCAAGCAGATATAGTTGTAAAATAGCAGAGGAAATGCATATGTGTTCCCTAGGCCTTCCAGTTTAAACCTCAGTGGACAATGAGATACCAAAAAGTAAGAAGAACCAGAAAAATGAAAAGGCCAGTCAGAATGAGTAATATGCTAATTAACATATTCGAGTACATTTAAGAAGATTATACTTATTTGTCACTGATTTAACAAATATGTAATGAATACCTACTATGTGCTAGGTTCTTCTAGATGGTGAGAATACATTGGTGAAGATACCTGTTTTAGTTTAATTTTCAATAGATTAAGTATCAAAAAAAAAGAAGCACATACAAAATCATGATAATTTCCTGTAGAGGTAAATTTTCTGGAAAAAAATAAAACAAGATGACACAGTTTCGCTGAAAGGGGGCTACAGAGAATAAGGTGATCAGGGAAACTGTTTCTGATTAGGTAGCTGTTGAGATGAGAGTTTAATGATGAGGAGGAGCCAGCCATGCAAAGATCATGGAACACTATATTTTGGAAGCGGTCAAAGATTGCAGAGTTCATAGAGCAAGAAGGAGCTTTTATGCTCGTGTAGCTGAAGGAAACAATCGCTCCAGCTAGAGCATGGTAACGGAGTATAAGTTGGAAGAAGGGTATCATTTTCAGGCATTCCTCAAAGACCCCAACAGAGTGTGCATCTAGTCATATTAGAGCATACTAAATAAAATTAACAATTGGTCCCTTATTTATTTTCAGAAAATCTTGGATCAAGAGTGGGAAGAGTCCTCAAGAAAATATCTAGTTTAACTACCCAACTCACAGATTAAGAAACAGAGGCCCAGGAGGAGGTGTGGAATTGCCTGTGGTTGTCCAGCCTGTTAGGAGGCAGAACTTAAGGGCTTTGTATACAGTCTAGTGGGCCTCACAGGTCACATACATCCTCCTCTATCTGGCTGCTCCAAACTGTATGAATGCAAACAGCATGAGAATATCTTGTGGTAGTAATTAAGTCACTAACAGAAATTCTCCAGCTTGGGTACCTAAACCTGGCTAACCATTATTTGAACTAGATAAAAACCAGATACACAAATCCCACTCTAGGAGATGCTGATTTGGAAGCTTAGGCGTTGAGCCCAGAAATCTCTACTTTAAAAAGAGCTCGGCCGGGCGCGGTGGCTCACGCCTGTAATCTCAGCACTTTGGGAGGCCGAGGCGGGTGGATCATGAGGTCAGGAGATCGAGACCATCCTGGCTAACAAGGTGAAACCCCGTCTCTACTAAAAATACAAAAAAAAATTAGCCGGGCGCGGTGGCGGGCGCCTGTAGTCCCAGCTACTCGGGAGGCTGAGGCAGGAGAATGGCGTGAACCCGGGAAGCGGAGCTTGCAGTGAGCCGAGATTCCGCCACTGCAGTCCGCAGTCCGGCCTGGGCGACAGAGGGAGACTCCGTCTCAAAAAAAACAAAAAAACAAAAAAGAGCTCCAGGTGGTTCTTATGATCAGGTATGCTAAAATACCAACACAAAATGGATAGAGCCCTGACTGTGAGTTAGAAAATTTAGATTCTCATTCCAGCTCCCCAAGTTACTAACCACATAACTTAATGTCTTTAAGCCTATGTTTCCTCATCTCAGTGGTGGGGAAAATGCCAGCTCTGCCTGGCTCGCAGTATTTGCAGGAAAATCATCATCCCCCATTATCACATAATTTTGATACAGAGAAAGTTTAGTAAATAATAGTGATGATAACTATGATAAGCATTTATATATAGTATAAAAGTACCTTCTCTTTGATCCTCACTGCCTTTCCCATTATTCAGATGCACAAAGCTGACTCTGTTGCTAGTGTAAACACCAGTTCTTTACTCTGTTTTCTTTCTATTACATTGTTCTGCCTCTCTTCATAAGACTTTATCAGCTATTATTTACCTTATTTGTAAATAAAACCTATTCTTCAGAAGTACTCATTTGTCAATGAAGAGACCAGTGGAGGTAACTTTCAGACAGACAGATACAAGGTATGGGCAGTTATTATTTTACACCGTATTAAAAGATTCAGAATAAAATCTCAGAGGATGCAGGCCCCATGTTTACAATTTGATACTTTAAAAGGAAATTTGGTTCCTCTTAAAGGGAAATGATTTTAGATGAAGCTCCCTTCCCCTCCCATGCCCTTTTTCAGGTTTCCCTCCAGGATGTATGAAACACTACTTAAGAGCAAAATGTTTCCCCATTGCATCATAGATTCTAGCAAAACCCCAGGCTGGTAAGAGTAGTATAAAGTAAAATCAGCAAGAATGATGCTGACCAATCGAGTTCTATTATCCCAACAAAGTGGAAAGTGAAAAGGGTAAAAAAATTAACCTGGCTTTAAATTATGAACGCATCTTAGTCTAAGGCAAAATTAAAAAAAAAAAAAAAGAGTTTTCTTCGCCTATGCCGCCTCCCATCAGATGACAGCAGCTGCTGAAAGCCTGCTCTGAAAAGACATCAGGGGTGAGTCAGAGGATCCTGATTGATAAGAAATATCTACCATGATTGTTAAGAAATAGCTACCTCCTGAAGGCGAATGTGAAATTAATATGCCAGGGATTTGCCCCCTCCGAAGTAGGAAGAAGGCTGTGCTGGATCAGAAGAAATCATGTGGGTTCAAAGCTAGATGGTCTTGATTCTTCATTTGGTTCTGACAATTACTATGTTTGTGACCTTGGACAAAAACACTGTATCTCCTCATTTCCAAATGAGGTATCTAGTGCTATCTCACAATGAAAAGGATTGGCATTTCACTTAGATTTTAGGAATTACTGGTAACACTGAGTTTTTTATTTAAAGGTCAGTGTGGTTCTGTGGTTTCTTTGGTTTGTTGGTATTATTGTTTTGTTTTGAGACAGGGCCTCACTTTGTCATGCAGGCTGGGGTACAATGATGCAATCACGGCTCACAGCAGCCTCAACCTCCTGGGCTCAGGTGATCCTTCCGCCTCAGCCTCCCGAGCAGCTGGGACTACAGGCACATGCCACCACGTCCAACTAATTTTTGTATTTCGTGTAGAGACAGGATTTTGCCATGTTGCCCAGGCTGGTCTTGAACTCCTGGATTCAAGCGATCTGCCTGCCTCAGCCTCCCAAAGTGTTGGGATTACAAGCATGAGCCACCACACCTGACCAAAAGGTTGTTTTTGATTGACTTCTAAGACCTGGCCCTTCACCCACTTTAGGACATAGACATTGGGTAAAATGTGAACATGTTCTGGTTTTCTCTCTGTACCATGGAAGTCTGTTTCCATTAATCAGAGCCCATACTTCTTCAGCCAGTATTGTTCAAGTTGCCTCCTTTAGTAACTTAGAGCTTTTTCGGTGTCCTCTGACCAAAACTTACATAAGATGTCTCTCTCTTGCATAATATATTTCACCTTTTCACTTCTGTCTGCTTGAAAAAAAAAACAAATGAAAATATATCACAATAGAGAAAACCTTTAATTAACTTTAGTTCTCTTTTTAAGTAAATTAGTTTTGAACTTTGGAGTTTTCATTTCAATTTTTTAACACATCATTGGATTGCATCTTACAAATGCCTTCCCTGCCTTATTCTGACCTATAAGGTACTACAGGACATGGTCTTCACCCATCTGTGGTTGCTCCAGCCAGTCTTGCTAGTGAATTGTGTCCTTTGAGTTGTGCACCACAGCAATTCTGTCTCCTGGGCATCTAAATAATCTTAACTTTTAGGTTTTAGACATAAATACAGAAAGCTGCCATCAATGACAGAAAGAAAGCATCTCTACAATCACTTGTTGATATTCCTTATTTCTGAGTTTGCTAACCTTAATTCTACCTGCCAGCCCTGTGATTATAGCCACAAAAATCATTTAAACTTCTTGTTTTCCAGCTTTCCAAATCTATAGGACTCTCTAAAGGGGGGTCAAAAATCACAACCACTCAAATATCTGGGTATCACCCTTTTACATAAAGACCTAAGTGACTGACTGCCATCCCACTTTCCATTTACATATTCCCATCTACTCTTTCCCCCATCTAATGGGCTAAAAATCAATATCTATCCTAGGATGTAGGATAGAGAGAATCTTTGTTACAACAATTTCCTTGGGTAAAAGCTCCTGCAGAAATTGACATTAAAAATATACCCAGTGTATGGCTACTATTCTGCAGGGACTGTAACTCACTCTCAAGTCAATTAGTATGAGGCCAGGAGGAAAAGGGGTCATCCTAAATCATTTGGCTCCAGGCTTTAACTGGTATAAAGAGCACTAAATTCACACAAACATGGCAGCATTTCCGACAGGCAGGAAAGTGAGAGTTAACACCCACCTAGTTCCATCCAACTAATAGAGGCTGAATATTAAGGCATTCTGCTATTGCTTTTTTGCTCTTCTTTCAATTTGTGTCATTTCTCATTTATTATACATTATTCCTGTGCTTGATCATAATGTCACTGGGGGTCCTCTGTAGCATGCCATATCAATGTGGACTCTGTCTGCTTTCCAGAGTTCCTTAATGCCTGGCAGTCTTCTCAGACGCAATTCTTCCTTTCAAGTTGGTCCCCCATGTGTGTACCATTAATTTATCTGGCTGCATGTAATTCATTCAGGGGTTCACACCAGCTGAGAACCACATATGGGAGTCCAGGTTTATGGGGATTTTTTTTTAATTTTGTGCCTTGCCAACCCAGAGGAAACAATTTTCAATTTGAATTTTGAGTGTTTGCCCTCGTTGTGTAGTCTACTAGAGATGGTTGATTAAGATACCACATTCAACAAGAGACCCATCCGGCAGTGGGTTGAACCAGTCAAACCCTCTCAGCCTCTGCTGTCCTTGCTTTAAGTATTAGCCTATGCTCCTTGTCCACTCTCTTTTAGACTTCAGCTGCTGGTTATGCATCCTGCTGTCATGGGCCCAGCTTGCTGTCTTACCTTTATATTGTCAAAAAAGTTTCCTTTCTCCCAATTTTTCCAACTCTTCCTAGTAACAGTGGGACATAAGACAAGTAATTTTCGTTCCCTAAACTTCAGTTTTTTTTCACCCATAAAATAAAAAGGTTGGATTAAGTAAAAACTCTTACATATCTAATATTATCTGATTTCAAATAGAATTCAAGACCACACTCTGAGCTCATGAAACACATTTCCTGCCCCAAGAGTTTTGAAGAGCAGAAAATGGTGCCTGCAGAATAGAAAGATATCCTGGAGCTGGGATTAGACACCGCTGCTATGGGTTACCTCCTATTTCTGGCTTCTGCATAATCTGTCTTCTCTCTCCTCAGAACCTTGGCATTCTTCTCTTTATCACAATTCATTGCCAGGAGAGGAAAGAATGATGATTGTTTTCAAATGATATGGGGAATGTAAAGCACATTGGGAATAGAATGTCATGCCCAGGATTTCCAAACAGAGAGGGCTTTTGCAATTATGAGCACAAAGTAGGCAACTCAATGCAGACTGCATGTTTCTGCAGTTGAAATCTCGGCTTTCCTTCTGTCCTGTATTTCCATGTGGGACATGCTGAAAACTATATGTCTCCTCTGTTCTAGCACCTTACTAGTTTTTGATTTTCCCCCTGTAAAATAAGATACCAGTTTACAAGACCCTCTACAAAATTACAAGTCTGCCTTGGCATTGGAATGGGAGCAACTCCTTCTGTTAAAGGTATTTAACATTCATCATTTATCATGAGTGTGCAGGGTAGTTAGAAAACCGTGATATACAAGGCTGTGATGTCCCTGGTCTAGAATTAAGAAACTAATTGAGCAAATGTGACCAAGGAGAGCAGCATGCGTAAGGGGTGCAATTAAAGAAATAATAAGCTAGAGACGTGCTTGAGAAGTAGAACATGGCCATCAAATTGCAAGGGGGTAGAGGGATTAACAGTAAATCAAGATCTTTGGATCAAGTAAAATGGGGACAATGGAAAGCACAAGCTCCCAGCTCCACAGCAAAGGCAAGACTCACTTCAATTAAGCAAGGTAAGAATTGTGAGTCTAGACACGCCCTATTTTGCTTAAGATTCTAATTGAGACCCACATCCTATCTTCAAAGCCACTTTTCCTTTAAAGTTCTCATGTAGGTTAAAATAACTCATTAGACTTTTGTTAGTCATTGACCTATAAATGCAGTTACATGGTAATTGCTCCTGGTCCACTTAACTTAATCATTTGATTGTGTCTCTATGCTTCAGAAGATTGCACCTACTGGGTTATGACTTTTAACATCTTTTAAGAAAAAACACCTTTTGCTGTATAATTTACATGCAATAAACTGCCCATTTTAAAGTATACAACATATATTTATTGATGTATGTATACAACTGTGAAACCATCACAGCAATCAAGAGAGTGAATATACCTGCCACCTCCTAAAGTTTCATCATGTCCCTTGGCAATCTTTCCATCCTGTCCTTCCCTGACCCCCACCTCCAGTAACCCCTGATCTGCTTTCTGTCACTAGCAATTAGTTTACATCTTCTTCTTGCTTATATAAATGGAATCGTATATTATGTGTTCTTTCTTTGACTGAATCCTTTCAGCATAATTATTTTGAGATTTATACATGTTGTTGCATGGATTAATAGTCTCTTTTTATATTGCAGAGTAGCATTTCATTGTGTAGATATATATTATAATTTGTTTATCCTTGTGCCTGTTGATGGGTATTTGAGTTGTTTTCAGTTTGGGGCAATTAAAAATAAAGCTTCTATGAATACTGCATGCAAGTCTTTGTGTTGATACGTATTTCCTTTTCTCTTGAATAAACATCTAGGAATAGAAAGGCTGAATAATATGGTATATATGGTTTTTTTTTAGAAACTCAGATTATTTTCCAAACTTGTACAGTTTTACATTCCCAGCAGCAGTGTATGAGCATTCTCATTTTTCTACATCACCAGCACCTGGTATCTTTCCATCTTTCTTACTAAAAGAAAATAAAAACTTCAAAGATGTCATCTGTTCACTAGTCAAGTGCCTACTACATGAGAAGGCACAGTGACTCGCCCATGTAATTTCTTGTGACAACCCTATGAAACAGGCAGACAAGAAAATCTACCTGCTAAGATCACAGAAAACAAACAAACAAACAGTGGAGCTAGAAACAGGATTTGGATCCTCAGTCTCAGTAGTCATCTTTCTATGATGTATTTTGATTGTCAGAATAGCTATGATAGGAGAAAAGGCAAATGCCTTTAAACAGACCACTTAGATTTGGTTTGAATCCATGGTGAGGGCAAGCCTACAATATGTCAGTTACAATTTTGATGCCAATGTGAATATTATCTTCTTTAAAGCTCATCCTAAGCTTATGAGACAAGGGCTTTATTTAATTATTCATGTAGATTGGGAAACAGAGGATCAGGGAGATTAAAGGACTTGCTCCCAGTGTTACATAGCTGGTAAGAAGATGTGTAGGCACATAAATAATTCAAATGTATAGCTCCAGAGTTCTTTTCTGCATTACAGAGTTGGGATTAGTTTACAATTCAGGTTGACTATGTGTTTCTATATAATCATCTGCTTCATTTCCCCAGGTATAGAATAAAATTGGTAAACATTAAAGCAACTATCAAGCTACTGTATGCCTACCAAATAGGACATGTCATTGACCTGGAGAGGGTAAGAGGTTGACAACTCACTAGCCTTGCCCCTCACTAGGCTTTCTGCAGTTTTTTCCTGCCTGGCAGATTCTACTTCCTTCAGAAAGGTTGAAAATGACAGAAACTTCTTTTTCCAGGATTTCTTGCTGCTGGGACATGACATATAACCCAATATTGACCAACGGGATATGAAGAAAATATATGCTGATGGCTTTGGAAAAAAAATTATTCTCTTATAAAGAAGAGATACATGAGATGAAATGACTCTCCTATTTGTTGTCTCTGCAAGCACATATGTGGCAGCCATTCTGTAATTCTGAGCAGACACATTGCTATCACATGAAGGATGGTGGAGTAGAAAGGTACAAAGCACATTCATGAGCACTGTTGAGCCATTAAATTTACCAGCCTTGAAGCTGCCCTCCTGCACACTTCTTACAATACGAGATAAATTTTCCTTACCATTTAATCCACTTTTAGTTTGACTTTCTGTGCCATGTACTAAAGCATCTTAATTGATTCAACTTAAAAACGACACGCCAGGCACCAGACTAAGTACCTTCGAATAAGTGATCCCATTTAATCTCCAAGACAAGGTCATGGGATAATTATTGCTAAGCTAATTTTGAAGACAAGGAAACAGAAGCTCAGAGAGGTTAGATGATCCACGCAACCTTAAGTAGATAACAAACCAAAGACTGTTTGAATCCAAGGTCCATTCATTTTTTAATTATACTATGACAACTCACTGGAGAGAGACTGTGGTATAAATGCAAATTTAATTAGAAGATATATTAACTAGTTATGAAGACAGCAACATACTAGCTATTTTATTAAGGTGACACGGTTCAAATATATATTTTATATATATATATATATTTATATTATATATATATATATATACATATATATCTCCTGAGTCTCACAGCAATGTTTAAAACATCCAGATAATCACATTCTTTCAGTTACATTTTTAAAAACTACATCTTAAGTGCCTGCTACATGCAGGCACACAAGCTCTGAGAGATACAAAACTTGAGATACAAGAAAGTAGAAGACATGATTCTTGCCCATGATATCTGTATTGGAGAGAATAAGTAAATACTATAGGACAGACATCTGAGTAGCAGTATTTTATTAAATGTTATTACAAAGTGTTTCATAATTCCCAATATTTTCATTGTCTTTGAAAGTTCAAGAACACTGTCACACAAACACTTTGAGGAGAATGACTAGTTTCTGTGTATGGGCGGGGGGAATGTCTGAAGGGAACAGCCCTTAGAGAAGGAGGAGGGGGCAACTGAATGGATCAGCCAGAAGGATGCCTGCAGGTGTTGGTCGAAATCATTCCTGATGGCAACTGTGAGGCCCTCCCCAGGGGGTTTCACCCAAGGATCTTGAGACTGGATAGAATTGATGCAGCAGGCTGTGATAACCAGAAGTGTGATTGAAACTTCATGAGAACAGAGATTCACAGTGAAATGAAAAGGATACGAAACCAGCATGTGGTAACCCAATTCTTCCCAATATAGGAGGTTCTCAGTGGAAAATAACAAAACAAATAAATTTAAAAAGGAAATTTTCCTACCAAACCAACCAGTTCGAAACAGTGATGTGTATCAGACCGCAGAATACTCTCCCCCAATGGAAGCTGTAAAAATCCTCTCCACCTGAGTCATTTAAAAGTAGCCTGGTTAAAATAATTGGAAATGTGCTCCAGGGAACAATCCATTAGTGGCCAAGGATGTGCAAGATAAATTGATATGTCCCTTAAAGTCCTACTTTCCATAGCACAACTTCTGGGGCATTAAGTTTTGATCGTTGCCTTCTTTAAAATAATTATTTTCTTACTAGTTTTATTTTCTTCAAAGCACTGCCTTTCACTGGCTGAGTATTAATACAGAAAGTGCTGTCTAGAGTGAAAATAGATCTCTTCAGGGTCAGAGTAAAACACTCTGCTCTGGTCTGTCTCTCGTATATTACATGTCTTCTATTGAGATGATGGAGGGCATTCAAACGTCTTTATCAGCCCCCTTTGGGGAGCCTTGAAAGGACTGAAGGTATTACTGGCTTCACTCATCAGTTCATTGACCTGGCCTGGCTGTCCGATTTATCTATATTCAGATGCAACTTTGGTCACAGGCTGAAGGAAATCATGAGTTTTGTGGGGAGTAGATGGATCTTTTCCTGAGATTCAGGTGGTTTGGAATAATGCCGACCACAGTACTCTTAAAAACTAACTACAAATGTATCCTTTCATTAAAAGATAAGATTCAAATCCAGAATCAGGGCCAAGCAAGCAATCTGGAACCTCTAGGGGAAGCCTCAATAACAAAATGCCTCTGCATCTCAGTCTAGCTAACCCTGTGGACTCTAAATTGTGAGAATTAGCAAAGAAAGATAAAAGGTCCTGTGGAAATGTTCCCCTAAAAGCAGTTTTAGTTTTCACAAACTAGTAATTTTGTTATTTTGCCTACCACAGACATTTTCCCTTTTCTAGCTTTCTTATTTGTTCCCTATTTCACTTTTGTCTTTATTGAGCAGCCCTTTATTGAATGCATGTCATGCAGCAGACACTCTGCTAAACACTGGGAGTGCAAAGATGGTGCTATGGTCTGAATGTGTCCCCCTAAAATTCATAGGTTGAATTCTAACCACCAAGGTGATGGTATTTGAAGGTGAGGCCTTTGGGAGGAAAACAGGTCATAAGAGATCTGCCTTCATGAATGAAATTAATGCCCTTGTAAAAGAAACCGCAGAGAACTGCATTACCACTTCCAACATGTGAGGACATGAAGAAGTTGCTCTCTGTGAGGAAAAAGCCCTCACCAGACACTGAATCTACCAGCACTTATGTCTTAGACTTCTCATCCTCCAGAACTGTGAGAAACAAATGTTTATTGTTTATAAACCGCCCAGTTTATGGTATTTTCGTTATAGCAGCAGAAAAGACTAAGACAGACAGGTAATGTGCATTCCTTGTTCCCACGGACATTTTTCTTTAAAATTATTCTTTGTAGAGATGAGGTCTCCCTCTGTTGCCCAGGCTGGAGTGCAGTGGCATGGTCATAGCTCACTATAACCTCAAACTCCTGGGTTCAGGCAATCCCCTCAGCCCCCTGAGTATCTGGGACTACAGGCATGTGCTACCATGCCCAACTAATTTTGAAAATATTTGTAGAGATGGGCTCTTGCTGTGTTGCCCAGGCTGATCTCAAAGTCCTGGCCCCAAAAGGTCCTCCCACCTCAGCCTCCCAAAGCACTGGCATTACAGGTGTGAACCATTGCACTTCTTCCATGAAGAAAGAAATCCTCTTTCATGTTTTTACTTGTTAAGTACAGGTTAAGTTCCTACAAAAGACCCCAAAATACAGTTGAGTTATGTAAGATAGAGGTGTTTTTTTCTTTTCCTTTTTTCATGCAACAGTTTGGAGAGTTTTGTTGGGGATCCTCTGCACCATAAAATTGTACCAAAATGCAGTTTTTGCTAACTATGTATTTGTCATTTCCTAGGAAGTTTTCTTCCTCATCACAGTTGAAGATAACTAAAACAAAAGCATTGGAAGGCCCCTGATTTCCCTCAGGGAAGAGATGCATAAATTGCATATTTCCCAGCCATCCCTACTGAGAACTGGAATATCTGCAGTGATAGGTCATGTATTCTGTAAAATCCAGAGTATCCTTTTTCCAAATGTAAAGGGAAAAGAACAAAGACTGGGGACAGTTGGAATCTTTGCTGTAAGGACAAAGTGGAAGAGACACTGAAAAAGAAACCGGAAGAGCTCAGTAACTTGCCCAGTCGCTATGGAAAGTCATTTAGTCCTCGGTTTCTTCATTTTTAAGTGAGGAGTTGAAGGAAATAATTCCGAGATCCTTTCAACCTCAGTGTTGTAGGAGACTCTTTCCCACCCACATCTCTATCTCTGTCTCCACTTTCATAATTCAAAAACGGGCATGTGAATGTCAATGAGAGTGCTTTCTTTCCTTTTTTAATTCTCTATCTTTCTAAAAGGAACATGAAGTGTCGATGCTTTCACCTTGATAAACTGTGAATGCGTTTTCCATCATTCCCCTTGCTCTCAGCCTCCTCTCATTCTAGCAGGTGAGCCGTTATTCCTGACAAATGAGTCACTTCAGAGAATGTTCTTGGAGGAAAGTTTGGGAAAAAGCAAACTAAGACTTAAAAAAAAAGAAAAGCTATTTCCTTGCCTTTTTTTTTTTTTATAAAAGTAAGTAGATACACATGAAAAAGGAAAGGGACCGAAAGTAAGATGGTAGAAATGAGTAGAGATGGCTTGTACAGTAGAGTACAATGGACACTCGCTGACGGGATGAAAAAAGAGTGAGGAATATGGAAGAAGAAAATAAAACCTTTTTTCAATAAAGTGTATTGTGATTTCTATATTAAATTTAGAGAAATATTACATTTTATATGAAACTATCCTATATTGCATATACAGCTTCTTTAAAAATATTTATAACCTAAAGAGATGATTATTCTACTTATCTTTTAAATAATAGCTTTATTGAGATATAATTTACATAGCACAAAATTCAGCCATTCCAAGTATGAACTCCAGTATTATTTAGTATATTAACAGGGTTGTGTAACCATCATTACTATTTAATTTTATAGCATTTTTGTCCCCCTCAGAAGAAACTCTGTACCCATTAGCAGTCACTGCCTGAAACTCCTTTCTCATCCACAGTCCTTAATCTACTTTCTCAATCTACTTTCTGTCTCTATGAATTTCCCTATTATGAACATTTTATATAAATGGAAGTTTACAATATCTGGGTTTATTTCTGGATTCTCGATTCTTTTCCATTTATCTATATGTTTATTCTTCAGTACTACATGATCTTGATCACTGTAGGTTTGCAGTCAGTTTTGAAATCAGGTAATGTGAATTCCCCTAATTCAATTTTTCAAGATTTGTTTAGATATTCTGGGTCTTTTGGATTTCTGTAAAAGTTTTAGTTCTAGCTTGTCAATGCCTTCAGAAAAGGGAGATGAGACTTTAATAGGGACTGTGCTGAGTGTGTACATCAATTAAGCCTTCTGATCCATGAACATGAGATATCTTTCCATTTATTTAGAGTTTTAAAATTTCTTTCAGTAATGTTTTATAGTACTTATCTTACACTTCTTTAGTTAAATTTGTTCCTGTGCATTTTGTCTTTCTGATGCCATCATAAATAAAATATTCCTAAATTTCATTTTCAGATTGTTCATCACCAGTGTTTAGAAATACAGTGGATTTTTGGATATTGATCTTGTATCTTGCAGCCTTGCTGAACTCATTTATTACTTCTAACAGTTGTATTGTAGATTCCTTAGGATTGTCTATATAAAAGAACTGCAAAAACATTTTTACTTTTTCCTTTCCAATTGGGATGCATTTATTTCTTTTTCTTTCCAAATTTCCCTGGCTAGAAGGTCCAGTGCAATGTTGAATAGAAGTGGACATCTTTATTTTATTTCTAAGCTTAGAGGGACATTTTTCATTCCTTTTGCCATTAAGTGTAATGTTAAGTGTGGGAGTTTGGTAGACTTTATCAAGCTGAAGATGTTGCTTTTTATTCCTACTTTGTGTGTGTGTGTGTGTGTGTGTGTGTGTGTGTGTGTGTATGTGTCATGAAAGGTCCTGAATATTCCATGTGCATGTAAAAAGAACATGCATTTTGCTGTTGTTGGTTGAAGTGAACTACAGATTTCTGTTAGGTCTAGTTGATTTATACTTTTGTACAAGTTTTATTTTTCCTTATTAATCTTTTGCCTAATTGTTGTATCCATTACTGAAAGTGAAGTATTTAAGTCTTCAACTTCCATTGTTGAATTGTCTACTTCTCCCTTCAATTTTTTTGGATTTTGTTTAATGTATTTTGGGGCTTTGTTGCTAGATGCATATATATATATATAATAGTTATATCTTCCTAATAGATTGAGTCTTTTATCATTATAAGGTCTTTTTAATACTCTAATAACATTTTTTCTTAGAGTTTATTTTGTCTGATATTAGTATAACACTCAATTTCTCTTTTGGTTGCTATGTGCAAGGTATATATATAATTTTCCATCCTTTTACTTTCAGCTATTTGTGTCTTTGAAACTAAAGTGAGTCTCTTTAGATTTTAAATTGTGACTTTGAATCTAAAAAGTATGATAGCATTAGGTTTTTGAGTTTCATTCTATCAGTCTCTACCTTTTGATTGAAATGCTTTAATCCAATTACTTTTAATATAACTACTGCTAAGGTAAGACATTTGACATTTTACTGTTTGTTTTCTATACATCTTACTTTTTTGTTTCTCTATTTCTCCATTACTCTTTTCTTTTATGTTAAACATATATTTTCTAGTACACCATCTAACATCTTAACTTAAAATAATCTACTTCATGTTAACACCAGCTTAATTTCAGTGTACTACAAAAAACTTTGTTTCAATGTAGCTCCATTAACCACTTCCTTTGTGCTTTTATTGTCATACAGATTACATCTTTATACTTTATATGCCTATCAACACAGTTTTATTATTATTGCTTTATCTGTGTATCTTTTAAACTTGATAATAAAAGGGTTATAAGTAAAAAATAAGTTTATACTGTGTTTTGTATTTAGCTATGTAGTTATCTTAACCTGGTGTTCTTTCTGTCTTTATGTGGATTCAAATTACCATCTAGTATTCTTTTATTTTATTCCAAAGGATATTGTTTATTTTTATTTTTATTTTAGTATTTTTTGTAGGGCAGATGTACTAGTGATGAGTTCTCTCAGTTTTTGTTTATCTGGAAATGGCTTAATTTTTCTTTATATTTGGAGGTTAGTTTTACTGAATATAGGGTTCTTGGTTGACAAAGCACATCAAATATGTCTTCCCATTGCTTTCTGTCCTTCCTAGTTTCTGATAAGAAGTAAGTTTTTAATATTATTGAAGATCCCTTGTTTGTAATAAATAAATTACTTTTGTCTTGCTGCTTCCAAGACTCTCTCTATCTTTATTTCTCAGCAGTTTGACTATCCATCCATCACTGAGGTATCCATCTCTTTGTTTATCCTACTTGGAGTTAATTGATTTTCTTGGATGGACAGATTGTTTTTCATCAAATTTAGGAAGTTTATGGCCATTATTTTAAAAAATATTATTTCTGCCTCTTTCTATTCTTCGGAGCCTCTCATTATATGTTTGTTGATATGCTTGGTGGTGTCCCACAAGTCTCTGAAGCTCTGCTCATTTTTTTCATTTATTTTTCTTTCTGTTCCTCTGACTGGATAAATCTCAAAATTTTTGAAATTTCTTTTTAATATTTGGAGGTTGGTTTTACTGAAATTCACTGATTCTTTCCTCTGTCAGCTCAAACCTGCACTTGAGCCCCACTAACACACATTTTATTTAAATTATTTTACTTTTCAACTCCAGAATTTTTTTCTTCTCCTTTTTTGTAAATAATTTCTATGTCTTAATTGATATTTATATGTGATGACACATGGTTCTCATACTTTTCTTTAATGCATTAGACATGATTTCCTTTTTCTTTAAACATGTTAATAGTAGCTGACTTAAATCTTTATCGATTAAGTTCAGCATCTGGGCTTTCTCAGAAATAGTTTCCATTGACAGTTTTTGGGTTTGATTTTGTTTTTACCCCTGTGTATTGGCCACATTTTCTTGTTTTTTTGCATGTTGCATGATTTTTGTGTTGAAACTGGGCATGCTAAGTAATACAATTTGGTAAGTAGATAAAGCAGATTTTCTCCTCCTTAGGGCTGTTTTTGTTGTTGTTGCTCCTGCTGTTTGTTTGGTAACTTTCCTGGTCTAATTTTGTAAAGTTTGTATTCTTTGTCATGTGTGTTTAATTAGCTTAGTGGTCAGCTAATGATTGAACCAAGATCCCTAACTATTTGGAACCAATTAACTTTTGTTGAGAGGCTGTGTGTGTGTTTGTGTTGGGACATGCCTTCAAGGCTCTGGTAAGCAATTGATAATTGTCTTAATCTTCACCTTCTGCTGTGCAAAGCTTCAAGGTAAGCCAGAAGTGAGAAAGTGGAGTCTTCTATGGCTTTTCCTGTGCATGCACACAGCTCTGCTTATGCATGTGTCTTTCTAGATTCCCGGGAATATGTCAGACCTTTTCAGAGCACCCTAGGGACATCTCATTCTCTAATTTCTCTGAGTTCTTTTGGCCAGCCTCTTTTAGCTACAGCTGATACTGCCACCTCAAAAAGCTGCAATGTTAACCAATTGCCAATGATTATTTTTGACAAATGTACTGAATACAGGGATGTTAAGACAGATCAAGACCTGAGTTAAATATAGCTCTTCAGGTATTTTCTGATAGGTTAAAGAGTGACGATTTGCTGGAGATGGAGCTTTTAAGAAAATGCTGAACTTTCCAAAGTCTGCTGGACTGCTGCTTTTCACAGCTACTGTAGTTGAAAGTCTGTTGGTTTTCAAGGTTGAGGAAAGAGAGATGGGAATAGGGTAAGTAAAAACACCAATAGGCTTACTGTTCTTATTAAGACATATCAATTTTCTTGAAATAACCCTCCTCAGGTTGTTACAAACCTTTTATTAATTTCCAGAGTGCAGAAAACTTTGTTTCTGACATTTTTGCCAGTATTGACATTGCTTATTTGAAGAAGCATATTTTTGGAGCCTTACTCTACTGTTCTGTAAATGCCACTTTCTATCATGTACTTTTGCAATAGATCTCCTACTACATTGCCACTGGCACCTACTTGATGCCAAATAATTCTTGGATGTTTGGGACTAAGTTCCTATTTGGTTCTCTCAAGGTTGAATTATTCTAAACAGATACACTTTTACTTGGGTCCAGCTTTCATTACCTTTAGAATCTAAACTGGGTTATAGATTAAACATGAGGCCCTCTAAAGACAGGTTTGGGAGAGCAGAGGAATGTCCGTAATTTCTTGCAGCCCTATTTTCCTCAACACCCTCTGTTATTCATAAACCTCACTTGACTCTTTTTAAAATGAATTTTTCTGTAGTCTGTTGGTTCTGAGTGGCCAGCTTGAAGGATTCCTAAGTTATAGTTGCTGGAATGAAACATCCTTCTCAATTTCAAAAAGTTCAAATTAAGCCCTTCTCTCCCTTTCCCCACCCAGGACAGTATATTAAGAACTTAAGGTATCAAGCCAAAGGTGAAGCTCCTCAGGAGACAAGGGACTTTAGTTATTTCTGGGCGGACAATGCTGTCTCTAGTTTTTGTATCTATTTTATATCCTATCAATATTCTAAATACTTGACTTTTTTTCTATTCTTTTTTTATTTTTATTTTTTTGAGACAAAGTCTCACTCTGTTGCCCAGGTTGGAGTGCAGTGGTGCAATCCCGACTCACTGCAGCCTCAACAATCTCCTGGGCTCAAGTGATCCTCCTTCCTCAGCCTCCTGACTAGCTGGGATTATAGGCACACACCACCAAGCCCAGCTGATTTGTGTGTGTGTGTGTGTGTGTGTGTGTGTGTGTGTGTGTGTGTGTGTGTGTGTGTGTATGTATTTTTTGTAGAGACAGGGTTTCACCATGTTGCCCAAGCTGTTCTCAAAATCCTGGGCTCAAGTGACCCACCTACCATGGCCTCCCAAAGTGTTGAGATTATAGGCATGAGCCACAATGCCTGGCATCTTTTTTTATTTTTACAATAATTTATTTAACACTGAATATATGTCAAGCATTTGGTTGGTCACTGATAACATAAACTGTATTAAACATAAAAATTTTCCTAACATTTACATTTTCTGCTCCCAATATGAGATATACTCTTGTCCTCTAACCAGCTCTGCCTGTAGCTTGTCATATAATCTTATGGGAGTCTTTTTCCCCCTGGTCTGCCTTACACTTCTCAAATTTAATATGGTAGGCTAACATTAGGTATATTTAAGACCTTTTACCTCCTTGGATCTAATATTTCATATCACCTCTTTACCCTTATTTCTTCCTCTACTCAAAAAGTTCAACATGATGAAGGAATAAATGGTAAGTCTTTATCTTTGTTTAAGACACATTTTATTGAACACTACATTTCAGGAACTGGGCCAAGCACTTTATAGAGGCTCTCTCTCTCTACACACACACACACACACACACACACACACACATATACATAATACACACACATACATATATACATACACACATATGCATATGTATACATATATATGTGTGTATGTGTTATATAAATATAGAATCTCTCCCTCTCTCTCTTTTTTTTTTTCTCTTGAGGCAGGGTCTTACTCTATCACCCAGACTGGAGTACAGTGGTGTGATTTTGGCTCACTGCAGCCTCAGCCTCCTGGGCTCAAGTGATTCTCCTACCTCAGTCTCCTGAGTAGGACTACAGGTGCATGCCACCATACCCAGCTTATTTTGTTTATTTTTTGTAGAGATGAGGCCTTCCTTTGTTGCTCAGGCTGGTCTCAAACTCCTAGGCTCAAGGATTCCTCCTGCCTTGGCCTCCCAAAGTGCTAGGATTATAGGCATGGTCCACCATGCCTGATCACTGAAATCTTTCTTACCTTTCTACCTGTCCCTCATACTTTAGTGTTGCTATATAGCGAATATAATATGTGGGTTCTTCCTTCTCCTCCTCTATTTTTTCACTGGTTTTGGAGTTCTTTTTTGGAACAGCAACATCTTATCCCATTCCCTTTCCCCCTAACCAGATTCCAACAAGTAATAAAAATATAATATATGGTAAATAGTGAACAACAGTCTTTATTAATAGACCTTGGTAACATTTTCTCTCCATGCATCCCTACTAGGACTGAATTGGAGAACTGAGGAATTACCTGATGCCAGAAAGAGCAACTCTTAGCATCTTACCTCAAGTCCAGACATTGAATCTTTGGAGAGAATTTATTCTGCAAAGACTAAGTATACTTATCCTACAGTAGCTACTCTTGTGGAGGTAAACAATTGTGTCTTGACCTAGAAACAAAATCTTGGTAAGAATGCAAGATGTCAGAGTGTTCAGAAGAGAGTGAAATAGGATTTATACTGTCTTTTTCAATGCAGCGACTTCGATATGACTCAATAAACACCAGTCTCTTACCTGATGTATCTCCTGATATGATGTCTTCCCAGTCAGATCTATTTCTCCTCCTCCCTTAGAAAGAGGGAAATAAGGGGTAGAGAGCCACAGCTTAGGAATGGAACTAAGAGAAGAAACAAGCTTCTCCAATGTATTCTGTTGCCACTAGTTTCTAGTTGTTGTTGTTTTTAAATACAGTTTAAACCCCATCTTCTCTATAAACCTTACATTAGAAATCCAATGATTTTTATCTTCCTTCCAACACCAAAGTCAATATGACTTATTTTAAAATACTTCATTCCAATGCTTAACACAAGTAGAAAGCAAAAAAAGGAGAAAGAAAGGGAACTACACATATTTGGTAAAAATATTTTTCAAAAATAAAGGCAACAATAAAGTCATTTTGAGACAAGGAAAATTTGAAAGAATTTGTCTCTTACGGACCTGCACTAGAGGAAATGCTAGAAGATGTTTATCATGATGAGGAGAAATAATATCATATAAATACTCCAAATTTCAGGAAGGAAGGTAGAGCAGTATATTTTAAATTCTATAAAAGAGAATGTATTTAATATAATAATAATAATACATAGTGTGGCTTATAGTATATGTGGAAGTGAAATATATGATAAAATCGCAAATGATAAGACAATTGGAAAAAACATTTATATTATTATAGGTTTTAAACTAATTTTAAAGTCATATAATATTATTTGAATATATACAAGGATAATGTAATCTCTATAGCAATAACTAAAAGTCACATACACAAAGAAGTATATTAAAAGGCAAGAAGAAAAGATGAAATGAAATATTAAAACAGTATAACTCATCAATACAAAAGGAAATTAAAAACAGATTAACATAATAGATAGAATAACCAAAAACAAATGAACAAAAATTCTGAAGCATAGACTCAAACCCAAGCATCTAAATAATTTTATTAAATGTAAATGGACGAAACATTTCAACTAAAAGAACAGATTGCCATACTGCATAAAAAATAAGACTAAATTATATGCTGCTCTAAAGATTTAGTGGTTGAAAACTAAAGGATAAAGAACAATGCAAAATTATGTGCAAGGAAGCCAGTGTGGTTATATTAATGACCAGACTAAGTCAACTGGCAAGAGGAAAAGTAGTCTCAGAAAATAAAAGACATTCATATTGATAAAAGGAATAATGTATCACAAAGATATAACCATTCTAAGTATGTATTCATCTAATAACAGTGCTTCAAATTACATGAAACAGAAACTGACAGACAGAAAAAGAATAATAGAAAATCTACAAGTATAGTTCGTGATTTTAAAACCCTTTTCTCAGTAATTTATAGAAAAAAATGGGGAAAAAATTGGATCAAAGACTCAGCTGTTAGAAGATCTAAACAGCATTATCCACCAATTTCATCTTATTGACATGTTTAGAAGACTACACTCTAAAACTGAAGAATACATATTCTTTTTAAGTGTACATATTATGTTCACCCAGAAATAGCATAGGCTTGGCCATAAAATTAGTCTCAATAAATTTTAGGAGATTGAAACAAAGGGAAAGTTTCCTATACACCAGTATTAAATTATAAATAAATAACAAGGTATCTTTAAACCTTCAAAATGCTTGCAAATTAAAATAACCCATGGATTAAAAAAATCACAAGAGAAAACAAAATGTTTCTCATAAACAGAAATGAAAACATAACATCAACAATTTTTTGAGCAAGATCTTTTGTACATTATGATAGTGTGTATAATTACTTTCCAGAACTTTTATTTGCAGTTTATTTTGGAGTTAAACATACATGACTTTACTCAAAAACCACACTCTAGATATTTAAACAAGGTAAATGAAAATATATTCTGTCAAGAAGTTGTTCATAAGAATATTCATAGCATTCATCCGTGTTAGCTATAAATTGTAAACAATCCAAACAATCATTAACAAATTAATGGATTTATGCTATAGAAAGATTCTAGGAAGATGGCAGAGTAGGAATCACCAGGAATTTCTACCCCCAACTAGAGAACAATTGCACTGACAAAATCTGTCTGATGTAACTATTTTGGAACTCTGGAATCTATTGAAGTCTTTCAACTTCTAGGGAAAGCCTTGAATAGTAAATGGTGGTTAATTTCAGTTAATTTTACCTCTTAGCTCAGCAGCACCTACCCATTTACCATTCCCCATCCCTGTGGCAATCAGCAGTGCATGTATTCCAGGCGCATCTTGCATGCAGGTTGTGGGAGCCAAGGTGGGCAAAAAGAATCCTGTCCTCAAAAAACAGGCATTCTATGTTCTGATTACTGATTGCTGCTTCATGGGGGAGCAGACACAAAAGCAGGTAGCCATTATTGCCTTCCTGCCCCATATTGTTGCAAACCTCACCCTTTATAGCTGAAGTAACTTCCATGAGATTTAAAGGGCTGATGCTTTTCCTCCACCATTATCTTGCTCTTTTCCCCCCTCTTGGGAGACAGATGTTGAAGACTAGGGCATTCAAAAATAAACTGCATATACAGGAGAAATTAGAAAAGCACCATACATGCCCAGGGAAAAGTATAGGCTCAGAAAATACCTTTGAAGATCTTAAGTTTATACCTCAGGCTTATCTTCAGAATAGAGATGGCCTGTAACATTATTTTTTAAAAAGCAAAACAAAAACGAGCAAACTCTGAGGAAAAGGGAGAATCTGATTTCCAAAATTACTTCATAGATTCAAAATGCCCAGTTTTCAACCAAAAATTATAAGACATACAAAGAAACAGGAAATAATAGCTCATTCAGAGAGAAAACTAAACCAATAGACATTGTCCCAGAGAAAGACTAGTTAGGTGGACCTAGCTAAACAAAGACTTTAAAACAACTGTCATAAAGGTGCTTAAAGAATTAAAGAAAAATGTGGAGGAAGTCAAGCAAACAATGTATGAAGAAAATGGAAATGTCCATAAAGAGATAGAAAATCTTAAAAACCCTAAAAATAAATTTTAGAGCTTAAAAGTATAATAACTAAGATGAAAGTTTTACTAGAGATATTTAAAGGAAGATTAGAGCAGGCAGAAGAATTAAAAAACTTGACCATTTGAAATTAACAATTTGAAAGAAACCGAAATTATCAAATTTGAAAAACAGGAAAAAAAATATTGAAGAAAATTTAACAGAGCCTAAGGGACCTGTGGGGCACTATCAAGTGGACCAACACACGCATTTTGGGGATCCTAGAAGGAGAAGAGAAAAAGAAAGTGACAGAGATTATCTGAAGAAATAATGGCTGAAAACTGCTCAAATTTGATGAAAGATATGAATATAAATATCTAAGAAACTCAATGGACTCAAAGCAGGATAAATTCAAAGAGATCCACATTGAGAATCTTTTTTTCCCCTCCTGCTATACTCATCTGAGACACCAAGAATCTCAAAAGCAATGACAGAGAAGTGACTTGTCTCATATGAAGGACTTTCAATGATGTTATCCATAGATTTCTCATCAGAAGCTTTGGAGGCCAGAAGACAGTGGACTGACATCTACAGTGCTAAAAAAAAAATAAAACTTTCAACCAGGATTCTATATTTAAACCTTCTTAAAAATTGAGAGAAAACTTAAGACATTCCAAGACAAATAAAAGCTGAGGAAGTCTGTTACCATTAGATCAGCTTTGCAAGAAATGTTGAAGGAAGTCCTGCAGGTTGAAATGAAAAGATGACTGTAACTCAAAATCATATGAAAAAATAAATGTTTCAGTAAAGGTAAATGCACAGGCAATTACAAAGCTAGTATTATTGTAACTGTAGTTTATAACACCATATTTGTTTTCTAAATCATTTAAGAAACTAGTACAATAAAAATTCTTTATGTTTTTGGACACAAAGCCTGTAAAGATGTAATTTTATGATATTGATAACGGAAAGGGTTGGGAATGGAACTGAAAAAAGCAGAGTTTTTATTATTGAAATTATGCTGGTATAAATTTAAATTAGAGTGTTATAACTTTAGGATGTTAAATGTAATCCCTATAGTAACACAAAAAACAATAGTTGTAGAATATACATACAAGGGAATGAGAAGGGAATTGAACCTTTCATCACAAGAAAATGAACTAAACACAAAAGGCAGTTAAAGCAAGAAATGAAGAACGAAAATCTGTAAGACATATAGAAACAAAGCAAAATAACCTAAGTGAATCTCTCTTTGTCACTAGTTACTTTAAATAGAAATGAATTAAACTCTCTAATCAAAGACAGAGATTGGTAGAAATATTTTTAAATGACTCAGCTCTATGCTGTCTGTAAGAGACTAACTTTAGATTGAAAGACACAGGTAAGTTAAAAATGAAGTATGGAAAAATATATTTCATATAAACAGTAAACAAAAAAGAAGAGTGAGACAAAGAATGAAATTATATATTAACAAAAAGTTAAATACAACAAAAAGATATGATTATTATAAACATTTATACATCTAATAACAGACATCAAAATATTTGAAGCAAAAATTAACAGAATTGAAGGGAGAAATAAGCAGTTCTACAACGATTATTGGAAACTTTGATATCCCCTTCTCAATAAGAGATAGAAAAAGCTTGGCAGAAGATAAGTAAGGAAATAGAGGACTTAAATAACACAATAAACAAAATATATCTAACAGACATGTATAGAACACTTTACCCAGTAAAAATAGAATACATTTTTCTCAAGTGCTCATGAAACATTCTCCATGACAAACCATAGGTTAGATCACAAATCCTCAGTAGATTTTAGAAGATAGGTATCACGCAAAGTATATTCTTTGACCACACCAAGATGATGGTAAAAATCAATCGCAGAAGGAAAACTGGAAAATTAACAAATCTGTGGAAATTAAAGCACATATTCTTAAATAACTAATGAATCAAAGAGGAAATCACAAGGAAATTTAGAAAACACTTAGAGATAAATGAAAATGAAAACACAACATAACAAAGCTTATGGGACTCAGCAAAAGCAGTGCCAGGGAAGAAATTTATTGTGATAAATGCTTACATTAAAAAAGAAAGATCTCAAACAACCTAACTTTACAATCCAAGGAACTAGAAAAAAGAAAACGAACTGAACCCAAAGCTAGCAGATGAAAGAAAATAATAAATATGAGAGCAGGGATAAATAAAATAGAAAGTAAACAAAACAACAAAGAGAAAATCAACAAAGCCAAAAGTTAGTTCTTTGAAAAGATCAGCAAAATGGACAAATCTTTAGCTACTTGGCTTACAAAATGGAAGATTAAAATTGCTTAAATAACTGAAAGTGGGGACATTATTGCTGATTCTACAGAAATAAAACACATTGTAAGAGAGCATTATAACCAACTGTACACCAACAAATTGGATGACCTAGATGAAATGGACAAGTTCCTAGAAACACAAAACCTACCAAGACTGTATTACAAAGAAATAGAAATCTGAATAAATCTATAACTCAGAAAAAGATTGAATCAGGGGAGTGATGGCAAGTGCCTGTAATCACGGATACTCAGGAGACTAGGGTGGCAGGACAGTTTGAGGCCAGGAGTTTGAGACCAGACTGAGCAATATAGGGAGAACCCCATGTCTAAAATATTAAAAAATAAAAAATAGCTGGGTGTGGCAGCACCTGTAGTTCCAGCTACTCAAAAGGCTGATGCAAAAGAATCTCTGGAGCCCAGGAGTTTGATGCTGCAGTAAGCTGTTATTGTAGTAACCACTGCACTCTAGACTGGGTGACAGAGCAAGACTCATCTCTAAAAAATAACCATCAGTAATGTAATCAGTAATTGAAATTTCCCAACAAAAGAAAAGCCTGGACTTGATTTCTTTGCTGGTGAATTCCACCACACACTTAAAAGAGAACTAATAATGATTATTCTCAAACTTTTCCAGAAAGTTGAAAAGAAGGGAACACGTTCTATTTCTTTATATGAGGCCAACATTCCCCTGATATCAATGCCAGGTAAAGACATTATAAGAAAAGAAAACTACAGACTAATATTCTTGTGAATGTTGATGTGAAAATCCTCAAAAGAGTACTAGCAACGTGAATTCAGCAGCATGTTAAAAGGATTATACAGCAGGTTCTCATTATAACATTGATTAGAAGGAAAAAAAATTAGTTCCTGACTGGGACCACTGTCTGTGGGAGTTTACACATTCTCTCCAAATCTGAGTGGGATTTCTCTGGGTACTCTGCTTTCCCCCCACATCCCAAATATGTGCACATCACGTTAAATAGCATGTCTAAATTGTCCCAGTGTGAGTGTGTGTGTGTTGTGTGTGTGTTTGTGTGTGTGTGTATACACATGCACAAGTATGTATATGTGCCCCCTGCATTTATAATCTCATAAAAAATCCTTGAGAATTAATTTAACCAAGGAGGTGAAAGACTTGTACATTAAAGACTACAAAATATTACTGAAATGAAGCAAACACAAATAAATGCAAGGATACCCCATGTTCATGGGTTGTTAAGACTTAATATTGTTAAAATGTCCATACTACCAAAAGCAAATTTAATGCCATCCCTATAAAAAATCCCAGTGATTTTTTTTTGCAGAAATAGAAAAATCCATCCAACACTTCATATTAAATCTCAATGGACCCTAAATAGGCAAGGTAATATTGAAAAAAAAAAAAGAGCAAAGCTAGAGGTATCACACTTTCTGATCTTAAAACTTACTACAAGTGTATAGTAATCAAAACAATGTGGTACTGGGATAAAGAAATACATATAGAAAAATGGAATAGGATAGAAAACTCAGAAATAAATCCTCACAGATTTGATTTTTGAGAAGGGTGCCAAAACTACTCAGTGGGGAAAGTTTTGAAACTTGGGAAAGTTTGAAGATTTGTCTTTTCAACAAATGGTGCTGGGAAACAAGAGATTCACATGGAAAAAAAGTGGTTAGATTTTTAGTGAACACCATATATAAAAATTAATTCAAAATGCATCAAATACCTAAATATAAGCTAAAACTATAAAACTCTCAGAAGAAAACATAGAGCAAAAATTTCACAACATTGGATTTGATGATGATTTCTTGGATATGCCATCAAAGAACAGGAAATAAAGAAAAAATAGACAAATTAGACTTCATGAAAATTAAAAACTTTTGCACATTAATGGACATTATTTATTTATTTATTTAAGATGGAGTTTCACTCTTGTCGTCCAGGCTGGAGTGCAATGGTGCAATCTCAGCTCACTGCAACCTCTGCCTGTGGGGTTCAAGCGATTCTCCTGCCTCAGCCTCTGGAGTAGCTGAGATTACAGGTGCCCGCCACTACACCCGGCTAATTTTTGTATTTTCAGTTGAGACGGGGTTTCACCATGTTGACCAGGCTGGTCTTGAACTCCTGAACTCAGGTAATCCACCTGCCTTGGTCTCCCAAAGTGCTGGGATTACAGGCATGAGCCACCACTCTCAGCCAATGGACACTACTAATAGAGTAAAAAAGCAACCTATGATATGTGAGAAAATATTTGCAAATCATATATCTGGTAAGGGATTAATAATGCAGAACTCCTAAAGCTCAACGACAACAACCACAACCTGATTCAAACATGGACAAAGGATTTCAATAGATATTTCTCTAAAGAAGATACATGAATGACCAATAGCACATTTTAAACTGCTTGATATCACTAATAATTAGGTAAGTACAAATCAAAACCACAAGATGCCACCTTGTATCCATTAGAATAGCCCACTGTAAAAAAACAAAAACAAACAAACAAACAAACAAAAAACAGAAAATAACAAGTGTTGGTGAGAATGTGGAGAAATTAGAACTTTTGTGCACTTTTGGAGGGAATGTAACACAATACAGCCACTGTGGAAATTTTTAACACTTCTTCAAAAGATTAAAAATAGAATTACCATATGATTAAGCAATTCTATTTCTGGGTATATATACCGAGGAATTAAATGTCAGAACTCAAACGTATATTTGAGTTTCTGTTCGTCAGAACTGAAACATATATTTGAGTTTCTGTTCGTCGGAACTCAAACCTATATTTGAGTCCCTGTTCATATCAGCATCATTCACAATGGCTAAAATGTGGAAGCAACCCAAGTGTTTCTTGACAGAAGAATGGATAAGCAAAATGTCTTGTGTATCTGTATAATACACACACATGCACACACACACACACACACACACACACACACGCACACCACACAATGGAATATTACTAGGCCTTAAAAGGCGAGGAAATTCAGTTCTGGAATATGCTACTACATGGATGAACCTTGAAGACATGTTTAGTGAAATGAGCAATTGAAAAAAAAATTCTGTATGATTACACTTAAATGAGGTAACTAGAGTATCAAAATCATAGAGAGAATAGAATGGTTGTTTCAAGGTTTGTGGGGAGGGGGAATAAGGAGTTGTTTAATGTGTATAGAGTTTCAGTTTTGTGAGATGAAAAGAGTTCTGGAGATGGATGGTGGTGATGGTTGCTCAATAATATGAATGTACTGGTGAACTGCACACCTAACAATGACTGAGATGGTAAATTTTATGTTACACATATTTTACCAAAATCTTTTTAAATGGGAAAAAATGCATGCTATATACCTAAGTGAAATGCTACTTCACATCTTCCAGGGCTGCCTGTTCACTAGTTCTCCATCCATCTGGTTTTCTTTCCAATTTGGAGGGTGTAGAGTGTGAATTCTCACAACTATATCTGTTCAACTTCTATCTTCAGTATTGCTTATAATGTTTGGAGCAGAAAAGATGCACCATTCAGCCTGCTGTACTGAATCTTCTGTATCTTCCCTTGGCCACCACCTTTTGATTCTTAGTTTAACTTTCTTATCCTTCTTGTTGTTGGCTGTTCTTGGTGATGATGATGATTTCGTTGGCTATTTTCAAATTTTTTGTTTGTTATTTTTATTGCATTTATTGTGTATTCTGGAAAATAAAAATCCTGATCTAGTTTTATTCTGTCTTCTTAACCCAGAAATATCTCTCAATATTTAAATCAAAATGTTTTTATTATAATAAAGCCTATTCCTCTTGGCTACTTTCCTTACCTATCTTAAAGGCATGTGTATTATGAGTGTTCCTTATTATTTAATCTTTGGGTAGGCCCTTAATCACTAGAAAAATATTGTATTTAGATTGTTAGTTCTATGTTTTGGCTCTTCAAATATGCCATCTAGGGAAGTCACTTAACTGAATTTTGTTTTCTCATAAGCAATAAAGAAATATCTGTTTTACTCACGTGATATATTTTTGAAAGTATCAAGTGAGATACTCTAAATGGAACTGCTTTGTAGATTCTCAAACATTATACAGGGTACAGGAATCGTTATGATGATGATTCTATGATGATGATGATGATGATGATGATGAATTGTTTTTCAGTTAATAGGGAAATGAAAAAGCTCAACAGAAAACATTAAACTCTCTCAACAGTTTGGCTTGTTGACATTCATGGTGACAGTTATTGTCCCATGGATGTCCAAAGGGTTGAGGGCTCTCCTTTTATTAAAACAAGGGCAAGGCCTGGTAGAAGCATAAGAAACTAATTCGAAAACCAATTGCCTGCATTTGCAAAAAGCAAAGCCACAGTTCATTTTCAATTAAATTATTTTTAGTCTTATGCAATAACCAAATGCAGTTAGGTCATACGTTATGGAGAAAAGAAAAATGCAGCATCACTTGTGTTATTTTTAGTGCCAGTGGAGCAACTGAATACAAAGCACCATTTTACTTTTTTCCTAGTTTTTTTCCTGTGAGTTGATTTTCACATAAGAAAAGAAACGCGGCTATCTTTCATATGCATCTTATATTTTCCCAAGTTTCTAGGCTTGTACCAAGGCAGAGTTCCATCCATATTCCATGGCATTCCATCCTGACAACTTCTGTGACAGGAAAATCTAGGGTACTTTGTAAAATATTGAAGGTGTATATGTACCACATTTTCTTTATCCAGTCTATTACTGATGGTCATTTAGGTTGATTCCATGTCTTTGCTATTGTGAATAGTACTCTAATGAACATATGAAAATACTATGCAGACATAAGAAGGAATGAGATCATGTCCTTTGAAGGGATGTGGATAGAGCTGGAGGTCATTATCTTTAGCAAACTAACTCAAGAACAGAAAACCAAATACCGCGTGTTCTCACTTATAAGTGGGAGCTGAATGATGATAACACATGGACATATCGTTGGGGGAACAACATGCACTGGGGCCTGTTGGAGGGTGGAGGGTGGGAGGAGGGAGAGGATCAGAAAGAATAGTTAATGGATGCTGGGCTTAATACCTGGGTGATGGGATGATCTGTGTAGCAAACCACTATGGCACAATTTTACCTATGTAACAAACTTGCACATCCTGCACATGTACTCCTGAACTTAAAATAAAAGTTGGAAATTAAAAATAAAAAACAAATACAAATTTCATAGTAAAAAAATTGATGGCAATTTCCTTAAAAAATTGAAACTAGCTTTTCATAGCATTGTTGAACATTCAAAAGACAGTGGATAAATGTCAACCTCCTGGAATGCTATAGAAGACAGGATTTTCTAGTTGCACTTTTGAGTATGGAATTATGACTCCACTTACTAAGTATCTTTGGCAAATTTCAGTTTCCTATTCTATGAATGGGAAGCATAATAGAACCCATCGCTTAGGGTTATTGTGAATATTCAATGTGTTAATAGGTCCAAGTAACTTAATAAGACCATGGTGCCTAATCAGCATTCAGTCAATGATATTGATGATAACGAGACCATAATGATGGTGTTTAGGCTTCATTTACTTTTCTACTGACTTATTCTACAAACATTTTCCTGGGTGATTTCTGTGTGTCAAACATGAGATCAGACATCCTTGGCTCTCAACCTCCTACCACCATGTGTGAGCTACATAATTTCTAATATCCTTCCACCAATCCTTTTAAAAATATATATATCTGTGTTTTTCCTGCAGTGTTTCCAGAGACTCTTAGTGGTCTCCTCAATTCTAGTCTAACCTCTTCCAGTACACATTCTGCTCTGATGTAAGAGAGATCATTCTAAATCAAGTTGCATTCTGTCTCTTTCCTTGTATTTTCAGTGGCTTTACCTCATTTGTGTTAAAATACAAACTCTTAGCATGATATCTATATCTGTCCAGGATCTATTACTGACTCTTTCCAGTTCTGTTTCTGACTGCATTTCCTTACATATATCCTACCCTGTGAACTCTATTGAAATAACTTTTTGAAATGTGCAGTGTAGTCTAATTCCCCAGTGTTTATGAGGACTAGCCTTCTTGCCTGGAAATCTCTTTCTTGAGCACAATCCATTTTAACACTAAGTTAGCATTCTCCCCTATGGGCCCTCCCAATCATGCAGCTCGGATCTGAGAATGGATAAAGTTTTGTTGGGTAAATTTGCTTTTCAGTCTCCCCCGTTTGATTGCAAGTTATTTGAAGTCTGTAACTTTGACTGACACAGAGAAGGTGATTTTTAAAAAAATGCTTTGTTAAATGAATTACTGAGTAAAGAAATGAATAAAATATCATCTTTGTTCATTCAGAATTTATAATATGGTACATAGCATCTGTACACAATGTATTAATATTAGGTGTATTAAAAAGTTAATTTTAAATATAAAAAAATTAACTATGAAGAGAAGTCTTCAAATAGAGAACATACTTTAGAAAAGCCAGTCTCAGCAATTGAAAATCTGAGACTGACAATAGGAAGTCTTCAATCCCGATCCATAGTATCTGACACTTTGCTCAACCTGGCTTTCACTCTGTTTTTAGAATCCATCTCATTTTCCCTCATCTTCCCTTGCTGGCTTGGGTATCGCATCACTTGGACTGCGAGAGTGTGATAAACTTGTTACTACTCAGAAAGAAACTGCCCTTAAGACCTTAATTTGTAAAATTCTGTTGGAAAAGTATTACAAACAATGACGATTCAAATGTGAAGCTTTTCTGTCTTTATATTAACCATATCAGATGACTATACGAATATCATGAAGACATCATTAGATGACAGATAGATTGATATATAATACAGTATAGAAATGGGCACACAGACATATATATATATAATTGAAATAATTTTTGTTGACAGATGAGTAATAGGCTTAAAATAAAATCATAATTCATTAGGTAATTTTGGTAAGATTCTCTGCTGACTGCCAAATTGTTCATAAAATTTCTACTGGGATGAATTACTTAATACACTACTTTACATCAACTACACAATTTCTATTCTTTTCCAAATGTTTAATAGTTTTTTAAAATGTAGTTTTTCAAAAGAATATTTTTTCATAGTTTACATTTTCTGTATTCTATGCCTTTGAACTTTTATACATGCTAGATATTAAGCCAATAGAAGCATGTGTATTTTAAAATAAATTAATTTATTGTCTGTTTCTTTTGCCTCCATTCAGCAGGGCTAGAATTGCATAATATTTTCTTTACCAAAGCCTGTGAATTACCACCTGATGAGTACTGTGTGTCTCATCAGTAAGGTAGATTAACCTTGCTAAAGTAAAGCTCAGTTCTCTCATTTGTAAAATGAGTAAATAGTGTATAACACATAGTGTTCATTTTAAGACATAATAATATAATCCACATGAAATTCTGAGCACAGACCTAAGATTGAAATAAAACCATAAAAACAAAAGAGAAAAAAATAAAAAAGAAATGGTGACTACTGCTCTCTTTAAGCAAATAAGTTGGTTCCAATCACTTCAGCCATTTTGCTGTTTACTTGGGAGAAATTATGTAAATGAAAATAAGTAGATATTTACATCTTAGAGTTATGGGTGGATGATTACTAAGGGATGGTCTAGTGACTTCTCTACATAATTTTTAAGGTTGTCTCTAAAAGGGCTGCCTGTTGGCCTGGCAGCTTAATCATCAAAGACATAATTAGGTGTGAAGACAGCCAAAGATAAGCCAAAGATAAGTAGAAGGGATGCATCTCTGTCACTGGGAAGATTGGAAATAGTACATGTCACAAACCTGGAAGAAAGTTGGCCCTGTTACAACCATCTCTGACCTTCTTACTTGGTCTGTTCTATGAATGACAGATTTATATGTAGATATCAAAATAGCATATGTTTGAGTGACAAAGTAGATCTCAAGACCAACTCAAGAGGGGGCACAACTTGGACTGGTTGGTGAAGGGATTCAGAGCAGGATGAAGTCAATGTACTTAAATAAGTGCACAGAAATGGATCAAATCAGTCAGTATAAAGTGGGATAGCCTGCAGCTTGACAGTACATTAGAACAGATGTAAAAGTGCATTTTTTTTTAAAGATCAACGGTGATTGTTTAGTCAGGTACAGTGTTTGTATTAACCAAAGAACAGCCCTGCCTGCGTAACTACTCTGAATTGGATTACATGAAACCTAGCCATTAAGTCTTGATTTGTTATGCATGTGAGCAGGACAGACAGACAGATGTTGTGCTAAAAAATGGGTAGTTTTCAACCAACAAATACTTTATCTCCAAAATACGAATGTCTTCTTTGTACATCCTATTAATTCTACCATATATCAAACATATTTATAGGGTGCCTGCTAGCTGTTAAACTTTATTTTTTTTATTTTTTTATTTTTTAAATGGGTCTTGGGGCTCAGAGATGATAAAGGTAGGGTCCCTGTTCTGAAGGATTTCAAGGTCATGTTAGGGTGTTAAATTTGTAAAAAGACAATTTTAATATAAAGGAGTGAGTGCAATGATTGAAACATCTCTAGATGCTCAGGAAGTGCAAAGAGGAAACTCCAGGTTCATCCGTGGAGAATCAGAACAAGTTTCAGAAATAAATTTTGAGTTTTAGAGAGAGTTAAGAGTTAATGAAGTCAAACAGAGGGAGGCATTTAGGCAGAGAGGACACCATGAGCAAAATCAAAGTGTCATGCATTATATACACACGGAAAATGTTTCTTGTGTGAACATAAAATAAGAGATAAGTGATAGGTTAGAAGCAAGTATCTTAGACAATCTTAAAAGGCCTTGTAAATTTAGTTAAAAATTTGGAAATTATACTCTAGGAATAAGAAATCATTAGAGGTTTTCAAGATGGGCTTTGCATTTTAGAAACAGCATTTTGGAGATGAAGATGTGAGCAATTCATTTGAGGAAGAAAATACCAGTGGCCATTATATCGATGCAGGTGAGAGATGGTAAGAAACAAAACCCTGGTAGGGGAAATAGAACTGCATAGGAAAGTTCTGACTTAAAAGAGATTTAGGTGATATAATCTGGAGGAACTTAGTGATTTATTAGATGTTAGGGATGAGAGCAAGACAGAAGTGTGCATGACTCTCAGTTTCTAGCTTTAGGGATCAATTGATCACTTCTGTAATTGCTTACTCTGTATATTCTACATGCAACAAGCTTCATGGGGGCAGGGAATAGATCTACACATCCCTTGCTATATTTACAACATTTTGTATAATTTCTAGCACATATGAATGCTCTATAAATGCTTGTTGAATTAATGAATAATAGAAGATGTGGGAAGATGAGATGGTTTAGAAGGGAGGATGATGAATTCCATATTGAGCCTGTTAGGTTGGAAATTCTTGTAAAACATGCAGATGGAGATAACCAGCAGATGTGTGTGTGTGTGCGTGCGCGCACGCGTGCATGCATGTGCGTACATGCTCGTGTGTGTGTGAAATCAGCAGACCAGCAGAGATGATCAGGTTGGGGATTATGGAAATTCCCTGCCTAGTGAGTAGATGCCTTTTACATAGGTGGTTCTCTTTTTTATTGATGATCAGCTGAGTGCATTTCCCGGTCAATTTATTTTTTGCACTTGATTCATGGCTGAACAGAAATACTCCTTTAGTATTTGTGCTAAATGACATTTTCAACTATACGGTATTTGATTCCTGCAATTTAAAAAATGCACAGTCTAGGGAATAAGCCTGAGTTCCAGAGGTTTGGACATGAATTTTAATTTAGCTAGGAAATCTATAGATTAATCCTGAAAAAAAAGAGAGCAAGAGAGAGATACTCCACCAAATAGGTGAGGAAAAACAAGTCAAAATGTAAAATAATTGAATTAGGAAATTGACCAAGACTAAAGACTTCATGTTAAATGCTAATTTGAGATATTTGAGACCGTAGCATCTTGGCAAAAAACACCCAACATTACCAAATCCTGAATTTGAAACAATGAGGCTACAGAATCAGGTATGAGCTAAGGCTGAGGTCAATATCAAAGAATTTTCATCCTCAGTGCTAACTCCACTTAACTGACAGTGGCTGTAATTGATTACTGATGTCTGGCATGGGTATGGGAAAGGGATTGATAATACTTGAGCCAGGTATTTGCCATTATTGATCTAGACAAAAAGCATATGAATATGAATAAAAGAAAATGAGCCACTGAAGGTCAGGAACCCTAAAAGTCATTTGATGCTGGAATTCACTTCACAATAAATATGCCAGGGGGACCTCCACTGAAGTCCTCTGAAGATAGACACTCTACTCTTAAAATACTGATTTCATTTTTGAAAATCTCTGGCTGTTAGAAATTTCTTTGTAAAAATTAAAGTGAAAGCAGGCCTCTTTTAACTGCTATTCATTGTCTCAAGTTCTACTTTTCAAGGTGATATAAAGTAAGCTTAATATTTAAAATAAAATAATATACACAAGAATATGCCTAGAGATAATGGAATTATCTGACTTTTCCACTCATTAGAAAAAATCAATTATTTAACCTAAGTGATGCTATGTTAACTATGTAATCAGATGCCACAGAGTCTTACCTCCTGCTTCCTAGTTGGCCAATGTCAATACTTTTTGGGAAATATTTATTTCTATTTTTAGACATGTCTATTTAAAGCATTCCTGGGGCCTCCCTCATTTTTTAATTTAAGTTTTTTTTTTAACCAATCCACAAACATTTATGTGGGACTTACTATGTGTTCAGTATTGGGCTTATACTTTAAAGAAATACCACTGATTGTTTCTGCCTTCATGAAGCTTTTCCTGTACCAGGTAGTGATACCACTGACTCTTCCCTTACATGGGGCATTTCTAATCAATGGTCTTTCTTTACAGAAAGGAGGTTCCTAACTTATAAGGCCTAAGGGAGTTGTCCTCATAAAAGGCCCTGAGAAGTTGTCCTATTCCTATTTATAGTCAATCTGTTGATCCAAGGGTATAGCCTTGTTTCTTCTCCTGTTCATTTTTCTTTAACACCCACAAAAACTTAAAATTTCTCTTCAATGCCACAGTAACAAGAGCTCTTTTAAAAATCATATCAAAATGCTTTATTTACATTAGTAGAGAAATTTCCATTACAAAACAAAAACTAACATGATAGATTATTTCAAAATAGTATTATTAGTATTATTATACTTTAAGTTCTGGGATAGATGTGCAGAATGTGCAGTTTTGTTACACAGGTATACACTTGCCATAGTGGTTTGCTGCACCCATCAACTCGTCGTCTACATTAGGTATTTCTCCTAAAGCTATCCGTACCCCAGCCCTGCAACCCCCAACAGGCTCCAGTGTCTGATGTTCTCCTCCCTGTATCCACGTGTTCTCATTGTTCACCTCCCACTTACGAGTGAAAACATGTGGTGTTGGTTTTCTGTTCTCATGTTAGTTTGCTGAGAATGATGGTTTCCAGCTTGATCCATGTCTCTGCAAAGGACATGAACTCATCCTTTTTTATGGCTGCATAGTATTCTATGGTGTATACGTGCCACATTTTCTTTATCCAGTCTATCATTGATGGGCATTTGGGTTGGTTCCAAGTCTTTGCTATTGTGAACAGTGCTGCAATAAACATATGTGTGCATGTGTCTTTATAGTAGAATTCTTTTTTTTTTTTTTTTTTGAGACAGAGTTTCGCTCTTGTTGCCCAGGCTGGAGTGCAATAGCACGATCTCGGCTCACAGCAACCTCCGCCTCCTGGGTTCAAGCCATTCTCCTGCCTCAGCCTCCAGAGTAGCTGGGATTACAGGCATGCGCCACCACGCCTGGCTAATTTTGTATTTTTAGTATAGACGGGGTTTCTCCATATTGGTCAGGCTGGTCTCGAACTCCGGACCTCAGGTGATCCGCCCACCTCGGCCTCCCAAAGTGCTGGGATTACAGGCGTGAGCCACCATGCCCAGCCAGTAGAATTCTTTATAATCCTTTGCGTAATGGAATTGCTGAGTCAAATGGTATTTCTGATTCTAGATCCTTGAGGAATCGCCACGCTGTCTTCCACAATGGTTGAACTAATTTACACTCCCACCAACAGTATAAAAGCTTTCCTATTTCTCCACATCCTCTCTAGCATCTGTTGTTTCCTGACTTTTTAATGATCACCATTATAACTGGTGTGAGATGGTATCTCATTGTGGTTTTGATTTGCATTTCTCTAGTGACCAGTGATGATGAGCTTTTTTTCATATGTTTACTAGTTGCATAAATGTCTTCTTTTGAGAAGTGTCTGTTCATATACTTCACCCACATTTTGATGGGGTTGTTTTTGTCAATTTACCTTCTTTGTAGATTCTAGATATTAGCCTTTTGCCAAATGGATAGATTGCAAACATTTTCTCCCATTCTGTACATTGCCTGTTCACTCTGATGATGGTTTCTTTTGCTGTGCAGAAGCACTTTAGTTTAATTAGATCCCATTTGTCAATTTTGGCTTTTGTCGTGATTGCTTTTGGTGTTTTAGTCGTGAAGTCTTTGCCCATGCCTATGTCCTGAATCATATTGCCTAGGTATTTTTCTAGGGTTTTTATGGTTTTAGGTCTTACATTTAAGTCTTTAATCTATCTTGAGTTAATTTTTGTATAAGGTGTAAGGAATGGATCCAGTTACAGTTTTCTGCATATGGCTAGCCAGTTTTCTCAACATCATTTATTAAATAGGGAACCCTTTTCCCATTGCTTGTTTTTGTCAGGTTTGTCAAAGATCAGATGGTTGTAGACGTGTGGGGTTATTTATGAGGCCTTGATTCTGTTCCATTGGTCTATATATCTGTTTTGGTACCAGCACCATGCTGTTCTGGTTACTGGAGCCTTGTAGTGTAGTTTGAAGTCAGGTAGCGTGATGCCTCCAGCTTTGATCTTTTTGCTTAGGATTGTCATGGCTATACGGGCTCTTTTTTGGTGCCATATGAAATTTAAAGTAGTTTTTTTCTAATTCTTTGAAGAAAGTCAGCGGTAGCTTGATGAGGATAGCATTGAATCTATAAATTACTTTGAGCAGTGTGGCCATTTTCATGATACTGATTCTTCCTATCCATGAGCATGGAATGTTTTTCCATTTGTTTGTGTCCTCTTTTATTTCTTTGAGCAGTGATTTGTAGTTCTCCTTGAAGAGGTCCTTCACATCCCTTGTAAGTTGGATTCCTAGGTATTTTATTCTATTTGTAGCAATTTTGAATGGGACTTCACTCATGATTTTGCTATTTTGTCTATTATTGTGCTTGTGATCTTTGCACATTGATTTTGTATCCTGAGACTTTTCTGAAGTTGCTTATCAGCTTAAGGAGATTTGGGGCTGAGATGATGGTGTTTTCTAAATATACAATCATGTCATCCTCAAGCAGAGACAATTTGACTTCCTCTCTTCCTATTTGGATGCCATTTATTTATTTATCTTGCCTGATTGCCCTGGCCAGAACTTCCAATACTATGTTGAATAGGAGAGGTGAGACAAGGCATCCTTGTGTTGTGCCAGTTTTCAAAGGAATGCTTCCAGCTTTTGCCCATTCAGCATGATGTTGGCTGTGGGTTTGTCAAAAATAGCTCTTATTATTTTGAGATATGTTACTTCAATACCTAGTTTATTGAGAGTTTTTAGCATGAATGGGTGTTGAATTTTATCCAAGGCCTTTTCTACATCTATTGAGATAATCATGTGGTTTTTGTCACTGGTTCTGTTTATGTGATGGATTACGTTTATTGATTTGCATATGTTGAACCAGCCTTGCATCCAAGGGATGAGGCCAATGGATCATGGTGGATAAGCTTTTTGTGTGCTGCTGGATTTGGTTTGCCAGTATTTTATTGAGGATTTTCGCATCGATATTTATCAGGGATATTGGCCTGAAATTTTCTTTTTTTACTGTGTCTCTGACAGGTTTGGGTATCAGGATGATTCTGGCCTCATAAAATGAGTTAGGGAGGATTACCTCTTTTTCTACTGCTTGGAATAGTTTCAGAAGGATTGGTACCAGCTCCTCTTTGTACCTCTGGTAAAATTCGGCTGTGAATCCATTTGTTCCTGGGTCTTTTTTTGGTTGGTAGGCTATTAATTACTGCCTCAATTTCAGAACTTGTTTTTGGTCTATTCAGGGATTTGACTTCTTCCTGGTTTAGTCTTGGGAGGGTGTATGTGTCCAGGAATTTATCCATTTCTTCTAGATTTTCTAGTTGATTTGCATAGAGGTGTTTACAATATTCACAAAGTGATGGTGGTCTGTATTTCTCTGGGATCAGTGATGATATCCCCGTTATTGTTTTTTATTGTGTCCAATTGATTCTTCTCTCTTTTATTCTTTATTTTCTGGCTAGTGGTCTATCTATTTTGTTAGTCTTTTCAAAAAAAAAACAGCTCTGGGATTCACTAATTTTTTGAAGGGCTTTTCATGTCTCTATCTCCATCAGTTCTGCTTAGATATTAGTTATTTCTTGTCTTCTGCTAGCTTTTGAATTTGTTTGCTCTTGCTTCTCTAATTCTTTTCATTGTGATGTTAGGGTGTCGATTTTAGATCTTTCCTGCTTTCTCCTGTGGGCATTTAGTGCTATAAATTTCCCTCTCGATACTGCTTTAGCTGTGTCCCAGAGATTCTGGTACGTTGTGTCTTTGTTCTTATTGGTTTCAAAGAACTTATTTATTTCTGCCTTAATTTTGTTATTTACCCAGTAGTCATTCAGGAGCAGGATGTTCCATTTCCATGTAGTTGTGTGGTTTTGAGTGAGTTTCTTAATCCTGAGTTCTAATTTGATTGCACTGTGCTCTGAGAGACCGTTTGTTATGATTTCCATTCTTTTGCATTTGCTGAGGAGTGTTTTACTTTGAATTATGTGGTCAATTTTAGATTAAGTGCAATGTGGTGCCAAGAAGAATGTATATTCCGTTGATTTGGGGTGAAGAGTTCTGTAGATGTCTATTAGGTCCACTTGGTCCAGAGCTTAGTTCAAGACTTGAATATCCTTGTTAATTTTCTGTCTTGTTGATTTGTCTTATATTGACAGTGGGGTGTTAAAGTCTACCACTATTATTGTGTGGGAGTCTAAGTCTCTTTCAAGGTCGCTAAATACTTGCTTTATGAATCTGGGTGCTCCTGTATTAGGTGCATATATGTTTAGGATAGTTAGCTCTTCTTGTTGCATTGATCCCTTTACCATTATGTAATGCCCTTCTTTGTCTTTTTTGATCTTTGTTGATTTAAAGTCTGTTTTATCAGAGATTAGGATTGCAACCCGTGCTTTTTTTTGCTTCCATTTGCTGGGTAAATATTCCTCCATCCCTTTATTTTGAGCCTATGTGTGTCCTTTCACATCAGATGAGTCTCCTGAATATAGCACACTGATGGGTCTTGACTCTATCCAATTTGCCAGTCTGTGTCTTTTAATTGGGGCATTTAGCCTATTTACATTTAAGATCAATATTGTTACGTGTGAATTTGATCCTGTCATTATGATGCTAGCTGGTTCTTTTGCCTGTTAGTTGATGCAGTTTCTTCATAGTGTCGATGGTCTTTACAATTTGGTATGTTTTTGCAGTGGCTGGTACTGGTTTTTCCTTTCCACATTGAATGCTTCCTTCAGGAGCTCTTGTAAGGCGGGCCTGGTGGTGACAAAATCTCCCAGCATTTGCTTGTCTTTAAAGGATTTTATTTCTCCTTTGCTTTTGAAGCTTAGTTTGACTGGATATGAAATTCTGGGTTGAAAATTCTTTTCTTTCAGAATGTTGAACATTGGCCCCCACTCTCTTCTGGCTTGCAGGGTTCCTGAGAAAGATCTTCTGTTAGTCTGATGGGCTTCCCTTTGTGGGTAACCTGACCTTTCTCTCTGGCTGCCCTTAACATTTTTTCCTTCGTTTCAACCTTGGTGAATCTGACAATTATGTGTCCTGGAGTTGCTCTTCTCAAGGAGTATCTTTGTGGTGTTCTCTATAGTTCTTGAATTTAAATGTTGGCCTGTCTTGCTAGGTTGGGGAAGTTCTTTTGGGTAATATCCTGAAAAGTGTTGTCCAACTTGGTTCTATTCTCCCCTTCACTTTCAGGTACACCAATCAAATGTAGATTTGGTCTTTTCACATAGTCGTATATTTCTTGGAGGCTTTGTTCATTCCTTTTCATTCTTTTTTTCTCTAACCTTCTTCACGCTTTATTTCATTAAGTTGATCTTCAATCTCTGATATCCTTTCTTCTGCTTGATTGATTCAGCTATTGATACTTGTGTATGCTTCACAAAGTTCTCATGCTGTGTTTTTCAACTCCATCAGGTCATTTATGTTCTTCTCTAAACTGGTTATTCTAGTTAGCAATTCTTCTAGCCTTTTTTCAATGTTCCTAGCTTCCTTGCATTGGGTTAAAACATGCTCCTTTAGCTCGGAGGAGTTTGTTATTAACCACCTTGTCAAGCCTACTTCTGATTTGTCCCTGAGGCTATGATTTGCACAACTGTTTTTAATTTTAACAGATCTCCAAAGATTAAGAGGCCTATATTAACACAAGAAAATGACAGAAAGAGCTTTTTTAAGATTGTCCCATTTATTAGTGATGGAAAAGTATTGGGTTTTATCTATAATCTTTAGGTCTTTTTCATATAAAAATAATTACATTCCAAACATGTTTTTTTGGTAAGTATGATAGATTGAAAATAATCTAGACAGTTCTAAAGTACTTTATTGAATGCAAATTTATGAAACAAAACAGCATTAAGTTAAAAAGAACAACTTTATTTACAGAAGGCTGATCTAAGGTAATCATTCAGTTGATAAGTTTTTTTAAATGTTTACTTAAGAAAATGATCAGGGAAAATTTTAAATAATAATAACAAAATATAACACTAATAAAGTAAAAGGGACTCAAGAATCTTCATTTGGACAGAGTGTAGCAGTGAACAGAAAAAAAAAAAAAAACGAGGTAAATAGGACCCAGATCATAATTTTTCTTATTGGCAACTTAACGATGTTTGAAAGTTACCCTGTGGGCTCCCAAACCCTCTCCATCTCCCAGTAAAAACAAGAGTCCATATTCTAGTTGTGAGACTGATATTTGGCTCTGCCTCTGTCAATGTCATATGGCTGCAATTCAAGGGTCTAGGCGTAGAAAAACAGTATTTAAGCACCATAAGAAAATTCTTAAAGTTCACTCACCTTCCTTCTCCTCTTCCTCCTTCTCTGCCTTCCTTAGTCAATTCATATTTTTTCAAAAAACATTGTCATTTAAATGTCATATGGTAGTCTTTGGTTCTTTAGGGCCACACACACATATTGTGGCTTTCTCTCTCTCATACTCTGGTTGTAATTAGGGATGATAATTTGAATTTATTTGACCGATGAATTTGAACACAAGTGATGTATGTATTACTTTTGGGCTGGAGTATCAGCTGAAGTTAGACCTTCCAGAATGCTCTTTTCCCTCTGCCACAGCAACATCAAGTTTCTTTTTCAGTCTGTGTAGTGAACACATACAATGAGGACACACAGGGGCATCTCCAGATGATGACATTGCATATGCAACATGAATGAGAGGAAAACAAAATGAAACAAAAACCTTGCTTGCTTTATTCAAGTGAGAAGTTGGAGTTTATTGGTATGCAGTCATAACATAAAAGTCCTGGCAGATACAATTGTGTGTATTAGAACCTATTTCATTAGAGAAGATAATCAAGTGTGAAGAATGCTTAAGAAGACTAGTGAGGAATGGAGTCTCCCTCCCACTCCCAGCTCTCCACTCAGAAAATTGAGAGTTGTGGACTTGGAAGGGAAACTGAATAAGAGCTTTTGATCCGCAGTGGTGTTAGTTGCAGATGAAGGGAGAATGGAGAGAAGAACAGTTATGTTTGAACCTGGAGGAATTGTGTAAACAGTTAAGAAGGGAGCTTCAGCAATTTGGTGGCATCAGGCCTAGTCCACTGGGCTGGAAAAACTCTTACTTGTTTGGGAGTCATGAGATTATATTGTTTCTGGGCACTAAAGCTAAAAGAAATGGAAAAAAGGTTTCAACAGCTGTAATGATAGAAAATTCCCCTAAGTCATTGTTTTTTACTTGGGGAAGTTTTTTTATAACAAAAATCCAGACTGTTTCATGTCAGTGCGGTGGTGGTGGGAAGTCAGCTTTTACTACACAAACCCCTGCTCCACCACAAACACTGGAGTTAATTTTAAGAAAGGAAGAAAATTGTGTATTAAAAATTAATTAAGAACACTTTTTGAGTAAAGTAACTGATTTCAACAAAGGGTAAAAGAGTATTATGGATTTATGGTTAAAGTTGTTTCTGAGTGCTTGGGTCATGTGTTATGAATGAATCTGCCTCCAACAGAGATCAAGGCAATAGAGGGGATTTAACAAGCCATTTGGATAAAGCACTGAATCTCCTCAAGTATGGCAGATTAATTTCAATAATTACCCAACATATTTTAAAAATGACTTTAAAAGGCAGAACCAGTTTAATGTAGTGGAAATAACACTGGAGAGGGCTTCAGAAAGTTTATGTTTGTCCTAGATCTACCTCAGATTTGCAATGTGAATTTAAGCATGTCACTAAACCTCATCAATACTCAGTTTCCCAAAGTATAAAATGAGTGGGTTGAACCCAGAGACTCTCTGAGATACTTAGAGATTTTGAATGCCATGATTCTCTGACCCTCTGATTTAGGGTTGATTTCCCAGTCTGTTGTTAACCAGCTTGAACAAGTTGTTTAATATTTCTGGGCTTCATCTGCCTTGTGAGACTAATAATAGCTTACCTACGTGAAGGAAGGAGCTGGAACACATTATCTCTCAAAGTCCCTTCTGGCCCTATGTATTTTTTTTATGAAATAAATATTTTGTGAGTTCATTATTACATCTGTTAATGTGCCTACAAGTAGTGTTGATAGAAGCCATATGAATTTTGGGAGAATGGAAGGGTGGGGAAGTAGGAAAGAGAATAGAAGAAAGTGGAGTAAAAAAAGATAAGTAAAGATGAGATGAAGGAGAGATGAAAGTAATGAGTGGAGCCAAGAGGAAGAACAGGCACTGACCTTTGTTTTGTCTATCATTTAAGATGTTTTCAGTTACAAAGAAAAACAACAGTTAAAACACAGGCATCTAAAATAAAACTGGTTAAAAATAAAAGGAGTTTATTGCCTTGTGATTCTTACAAGTACAGAAATACAGGAGCTTTAGGCATAGTTTGAACGAGAAGTTCATAATGTCATTAGAGCTCTAATTTCTTTTCTCTGAAATTCTCTTGGTTTTGCCTTCCTCCATGAATTGACTTGATTTTCACACTGGCTTCTCTCATAGAGGCAAAATTGACTATAGAAGTTTCAGGCTTCATATACAAACGTTACGCTATCCACCGGAAGAAAGAGTACTTTTGTCCCTCAATCCAAGGAAAGTGGATTCACTGACCAGCTTGGGTCACATTTGTACCCCTGAACCAGTCCCTGTGGTCTGCAGAGTTAAAGTCATGGGGTATTTTCCCTTAGACTAGGTCACATTCTCCATCCCTGGAGCTAAGATAGAATCAATTTCCTTGGAACCCTATGGATCTCCAAACAGGAAATGGAAGATGTTGGGAAGGAAAAGGAGAAAATAGAAACGGAAAGAAAACTAAAATTTCACAATGACACCTTGAAAGGGTGGCTGTGTATGGGACCTAGAATCAATAGCCTTGGGCCTGGCTAATACCTCTTTCACTCTGTGAACTGCGCAAGACTCAGATACCTTCTTAAAATGGGAGCAACAGAATGAAGTTTCTACAAAGATAGGAACTTTGTTTTGCTCACTAGTATTAATATATCCTCGGTGTCCAGAACATTGACATGCACAAAGTAAGCCCTGAATAAACATGATTTAAATGAATGAATAGTACTAACCTCCTGAAGTTTTTATAAGATTTAAAGTGGATAATGCATATGAAGCACTTGGCACAGTGCCTGACAGAGTAAGCTCCCAAGAAATGGTAGCCAGCAGCAAGCAGCAGCAGGAGTTAGTAATAGCAGAAACAATAGTAGTTGAGCAAGAAATGTATTAGAAGGGTTTCTTTATACTGTAAAAAAATGTGAAAAATATAGAAAAGACATAAGATTCAAAAAATGCAGATAAAGTTTCCATTATAGAGATGAAGATTTAATCAAATAAAGCCTTTTTAGAAAAGTCTATATTTTTACTGAGTTTTAAAATAATACATGTGTGTCAGAAAGAAATGATAAGTACAGACTAGCACTGATGAAAAGCAGTTCGGGCTCACACATAGAGTAGTAGATGAGGCAGCTGGGAGTTCTTACAGGAGAGGAAAGAGTAGTAGCTGACATTTGAATATTAACTATGCACCCAACACTGGTCTAAGACCTTAAGTATAATAAATCATTTAATCTTCACATAACTTTATGTCATAGTACTATTACTTTTCCCATTATACAGATGAGGAAACTGAGATGCAGAAAGATCCTGTGACTTGGCCAAGTTTACTCAGTAGGAAACTGGTAGCGCCTAGGCTCAAACTGGGGCTATTTTCACAGCTTGCTCTTAAGTACTGGGCCCTGCTTTATCTCTATTATATGGGCTAGTCCTGAGGAGCTGTGTCTCTCTAAGGTACTTACATTTTTTGTTTATGAAACAATGGCTAGTCTTTGGAAGTTTTAGAAAAGAGAAAATAGCGAGATCTTATCAGTGTAAATATATCTTTAATGTTCATTAGCATTCCTTTTTTTGGTTTATATGTTTTTAATTAATCAAGCAGTAGTTATTGTTTATAAGTGATACATATTGCAAATATCACGTTAACTCACTCTCTTCATCTTCCTTAATAGGTTTTCTCAAACTTTCCCTAATCTGCTTATCACTTCTTCCTTTCCCTTTTCTCACATAGCTTGCTACTTCTAATCTCCTGAGATGGAGAAATATTCAGATAAATATTACGTGTTAAATCATATTTGCTAAGGTTCTCAGTGAGTGATGAGGAATGTAAATATAAGATTTCACACTAGAGTAGCCTCTTTTCTTTTTATCTCTGAAGTCTGCATGATGATCTTGAGATCTCCAAGACAGTAGAAAATAAGGCATTTCTCTCACCTAAACCTGCCAAGAGAGCATTTGTATTAACCTGTAATAGTTAAAGAGGGTCTCCTATCCATGCATTTTGAATAAATCCCCAAAATATTAGTGATATGGACAGGAGGCATGGAAATACTGACTAGAAAAGGGCAGTCCCCAGTGAGGGCCACACCCTGAAGCCTGGGACTGTGGCCCAAAGTGAGAACATGCATTACTATTTTCCTGCTCAAATGTTGTTTTTGGCCCACCCGCCCCCCCAATCCTGTACCCATAAGAACCCCAGTCTCCCCTGGCAGAGGGGTGGCAGAGAAGCAGAGCAGCTGAGTGGCAGAGCAGAGCAACAGAGAAGGAGAGAAGAGAAGAAGCAACTGGACATCAGAGAGAAGCAGCTTGACTTCAGAGGGACGGCTTGATAGCAGGACTTTGGAGAACAGTTTGGCTAAGGATGGCCAAACTCCAGGTAAAGATCATCTTCCCACTCCAGCCCCTTTCTAGCTCCCCACCCCACTGAGAGCCACTTCCACTGCTCAATAAAATCCTCCACATTCACCACCCTTCCATTCATTCCTGTGACCTGATTCTTCCTAGATGCTGGACAAGAACTTGGGTACCAAGAGGGCAGCTGCATTCCTTTTTTATAAATTAAAAAAACATAGTTTATTCTCCTCACAGAAGATAGGTGGGTAACATGAACCCAATACATGAACACAGCGATTGATAGTTGACAATGACACAAAAGTAACAATCTTTCACAAAACATGGAACACATAGAGAGTCACAGTCAAGAATACAAGAATCTCCACATCATCACATTTTCAGCCAATATATTATATATTAGGAGACTTTCATGTCTTTTATGTCTAAGCTTCACCTGTGTGAGAAATACTGTAGCAGAGTAAAGAAGTCTTTAGCTTTCAGGAGTGACTTGCCAACTGTTTTTTTTTTTTAACTTCTTGGTCTGCAGACTGTCTGTTCTCTGCCACTCTCACTGTAGCACCTGTTGGTCAAGACAATTTGGAGGAGAGGTGAATAACTTGATTAATTCAGCTTATATATCCTCAAATCGACAAATTGTGGTGGTGTGGAAAGAACAAGGGTTTGAAAAGTAGATAGTTTAAATTCCAGCTCTATCACTTCTCATGGTGTTAGTACAAGGGTCAGTGCAATAAATTCTGAAGATCATCCTAACATTTCCTCCTTTCATCCCTCTAGCCCTTGTTTTAAACAAGTTTTAATTAAAGGAGATCTCATCAAACTGTATGATCTTGAATCAAAAGGAAAACATAGATGCTTTTCTTCTTGGCCAAGGCCAGCTTTGGGTGGAAGTGTTGTAACTTCTGTTGACAACATAAGGGGATGTGTTGCCTTTTTGAAAAAATGGGTTGCTTCTTTGGGGCAATGGCTTGACTTGGTGCATTGGGGTCTAAGATCTTGCATGGAGAAAGTGATTATAAGGGACTATAAGTATTAACATGGCAATTTCCTCTAACGCAGGATATCACTGCCTGACAAGTGACTCTAACCAAGGGCTCATTAGAGATAGACAAACTGATTTTGAAAAGCAAGCAGCTTCATTTTCAGACCTTCAGCCAAACTATAACAGCAAAAGTTCTGAATGAGTCTAGCTGAAATGTGAATGGTTTAAGTTTTACCAATTATCTGGTCTGTCTCCACGAATGATTTTGGATAACAATATCGTAAGATACTAGTGAGCTGATCTTCCTGCAACAATCATAATCAGCCCAAAGCTGAGCATCATCATCTCAAACACCTCACACTGTCTGGCACATAGGATGTACTTGGTAAAAATACTTACCAATAATCAAATGAATGAGTGAAGGAACGAATTGCTTGTTTGATTTATATGTCAGAAACTTTGGAGTGAAAAGAGCTGGATGTGAAAAAAGTTGTGGGAGTTGGAGCAGATTCCTTAATTCTTGCCTTAGGTTTTTATTTCATCTTCCATATCAAGTGGATCACAGAGCCCTAACATTCTTTTTTATCTAAATGCTTTCTATTTTCCCCTAAATTTTGGACCCCATGATCTCTTGCCTAACATTCCTGACTTGTTTTCCTTTACTTAAGTCTTTCTGTAGCCACGCTCCCCAGGGCCACTGAGTGATATGATCATGTCACTTCCCTAGTTTAAAACCTTTCAAGTGCACCCAAGAAGGCAGAAAGACCCTGTTGGTGTATCCAAGTACAAAGAGGACTGCTTTTCACAAAACATTGCTTCTTCTCAGTAGCCACCCCACCTTATCAGCTGACTCTTGTGCACTGGCACAGGAAGGGAGCACCCCACTCCACTCTACCCCACTCCACACTCCGTTTTTCCCACCGCTGTGCCAGGTATGGGCACCAGCTCCCTCTCAACCTACATCATCACAGTCCTATCAGCTAAAAGGGAAATGCAACTGTCATTTCTAATTTTCCTCAGAAGCTTTGCAAAAGGAACAGAACTGAGGTGACTGGTTCTACTTTACATTTTGCTTCCAGCAAAATAATATGCTCTGATTTTTAAGCATCAAGGGCCCAGCAAGCCCCCAAATGCATTTTCCCAGGTACATTCCCCCCACAATTTTTCTAACCTCTTACTATCATGGGGAAATTTAATCCATATGTTTCTGGTTCATTTACACTTAACTTATCAAAATGTTCTGCTGTAAGAGAGATTTGATGTCAAAGAAGCCTTGTGGGTCTCATTTATACACGTCTTTTCTTTGAACCAGGAAGTTAAGGTTTGCCAGAAAAAGCAGAAATAAATGCTGTAAAGAGTCCTTTTTTTCTAAAATGAAACTTTAGAACTTCTTACAATGTGAGAACTTCTCAACCCAAAATACCAGGGTTTTATTGCTTAGACATCAGTGTGCCCTCTAATCCTTTTTCCTTTCTCTCCTTACCCCCTACCAGACAGTGTGCCACCATTCTTAAAGAAATATTTGAGAAACAAAAAGTTAATTGAAGAAATGGGAGTAGCACAGGGGACAAAAATAGCGACGTGCAAGTAATTGACTATGGAAAACTCTATGTCATTCAGGATAAATACATTTTCTTCCAATTTCCTGAGCTAATGGTGATGAGTGCACCATCATGTGACTTACGCTGCAGATCTCCATTAAGTCTCTTATATTTGAGATACCTTTGTTGGTCACCCTAGATTAGTGCTGTTCAATGGAATATTCAATGCTGATGGAAACTATGACATCCAATACCGTAGCCATTTACACCTCTAGAGTGCTTGAAATGTGACTACTGTGATTGAGAAACTGAATTTATAATTTTGCTCACTTTTTTTTTGTTTGTTTTTTGAGACGGAGTCTCCCTCTGTCACCCAGGCTGGAGTGCAATGGCACAATCTCGGCTCACTGCAAGCTCCGCCTCCCAGGTTCATGCCATTCTCCTGCCTCAGCCTCCCGAGTAGCTGGGACTACAGGTGCCCGCCATGATACCCGCTAATTTTTCTTTGTATTTTTAGTAGAGACAGGGTTTCACCATGTTAGCCAGGATGGTCTCGATCACCTGACCTCGTGATCTACCAGCCTCGGCCTCCCAAAGTGCTGGGATTACAGGTGTGAGCCACTGTGCCTGGCCAATTTTGCTTACTTTTAACTAAATTAAGTTTAAATTTAAATAGCCACATTTGGCTAGGGTCTACCACATTGGACAGTGCAACTCTAGATGCCTATGGGATGAAAGAGTCATAACATCCTGTATTTAGCTAACTCTTAAAAAGCATGTGGACCTTTATAATGCAGCATAATGCATTCTTGATATTAAAAAGTTAGCCAATAGGACTTTCTTAATAAGGGTGGGAAAACCTAAGTGAATCAAAGTACATATCAAACTCCAATAGCAGAAACCAATTCAAAGTTTCAGTAATCTTTGTTTAATAATATTCTCTTAGAAAACATTCCTACCTATTATATAAAAACGCAATTATACCCTTGAAGTTTCATGGCTAAAATGACTGGACTTAAAAGAAAGTATGCTTCTTTGGGAGTTACCATTCCTGGGATGGCCTGTATTGTAGTTTTATGCCTCATTCCAGTAATCATTTTCAATGTGTTAATTAGACAAATAAATAAACCCTTGCTAGGCATGTGAACTTCACTTTCAGATATGATAGCCAATATTCCCACAGATGCTTGAAGATAGCACAAAAGGTTCTGACCCTTTCTAATAGCTAAAAGAATGCCATGTCTTAAAAATAACCTAAGGGGCTGGGCGCGGTGGCTCACATCTGTAATCCTAGCACTTTGGGAGGCTAAGGCGGGTGGATCACCTGAGGTCAGGAGTTTGAGACCAGCCTGCCCAACATGGTGAAACCCTGTCTCTACTAAAAAGACACAAAATTAGCTGGGTGTGGTGGCGGGTGCCTGTAATCCCAGCTATTTGGGAGGCTGAGGCAGGAGAATCACTTGAATCTGGGAGGCAGAGGTTGCAGTGAGGAAAGATCATGCCATTGCACTGCATCCTGGGCAACAGAGTGAGACTCCGTCTAAAAAAAAAAAAAAAAAAAAACCCTAAGGTCTGTACTAAGAAGCCCCAATGCCCCAACCTTTAAAAATCTGAAGCTAAAAAGAGACAGAACAATGAGTCAAAATACTATTGGTCTATTTTAGATAGAGATACTTTTCTTAAAGGACTACATGCAAAAAAAAAAAAATAGAGATATTGTTGTGACTACTGGTAAGAGTGAGAGCTGAAACATAACTATATAGTTTTTCAACTTCAAATAGATTTTTACATCAATCACTAAGAATCAAGAACTATGGGGTGATTCAGTCTCCCACAGGGAACATCTCACATTCCATCTCAAAAATTAGCCTGCCCTTCTCCCTGCACATTATAGGAATGGCCAAGTCATAGAAAAGGTGCTGACTTTTTTTGCCAGTAAATATTTGGAAAAATCTCAAAATTATTTAGTAAAAAAGCAAAGGTTATTTGAGAAATGCTTTTAAATATTGAAGGAAAATTACAATTATCCCTGAGTCATTGGGGTTCATGAGTCACCTGCCCCTATCTCCCAATTAATTAACTAATTAATGAATTAACTATTTCTTGAGCTCTTGTCCTCTGCAAAGCATATGATAAAAGTAGCTTTTGTTGAATATCTCCACATCTTATTTACTCATTCATCTATTAATTCATTAGCACTTTCAAGCCTTGTGTTCTGCTATGCTAAGCCAAAGAAGTACTAAAGGGTAGTCTGGGACTTGATCATTAGTCCCACTAAATTAAAAACCTTGGAGTGCTCACTTTCAATGTCACTACCTGGTTATGTCACTCAGCGACTTTTTAACATATGCCTGAGAAATCCTTCCTGTCAGTTACCACATTTCAGTTTTCATTTCTTTATCAGTCAGCAATGGCTGTGGAAGGATAAGGATCAGATCACCACAACACTGAGCTGTGCTGCCTCACTTTCTCCCTGGAGGGTCACTATTAGGAAGCCTGTAAATGAAAAAATATTTCAAATAGGTCATATTTTGTACTCCACATACACTTTGTTGCACATCTTTCAAATGCTATTTCCCCAAAACACTGGTGAATCTGAAAGTTCTTTGAAATGACACCAGAAAATAATAGCGAATATTTCCTATAGATTTCCACTTATTGCTAAGAAGGCTTTAATTGTTTTTGTTCCTATTTTGTCTATGTCTTTAGGTACTAGATTTCAGACAGGTCAAGTCTACTATTTGGATGTGAGCATGTATTCATTAATTACTATGTGCCAGACACTATTCTAAGTGTTTCACCTGTGTTTTTCTTAAACTATTCTCACAAAATATCTAAGAAGTAGGTACATTTTATTGTTCTCATTTTGTGAAAAGGGAAACTGAAACTTAGAGAGGTTCATTGGCCCAAACTTATACAGAATGTAATTAAAGGAGCCAAGGTGTGGCCACCATGCTTTTAGTCGCAGTGTAACCCAAACTCACGTTTTTGATCTTTCCTGGATCTTGCTATAGGTTAGGTGCAACACAAAGTCTTCCTAGTAGAAAATTATTATTATATATGCATTTTCATATAACACATCTGGATAAGTCACTTCCAGGAAACTTGTATTTCTAGAAAAAATACTAGAGTTATATTAAAGTGTAATAAAAATTTTTATGTATAGTAATATAATCAAAATTCCAATATGCATACTTTTGGAGAACTGTAGGTGAAATGATCAGTATAGAGCTCTTGTCTTGTTATAATGTTGAGGCAGAGACATATATTAAGGATTAATATATTACTAATAACCATAAAAGAAGGTAGGCATTGATAAAATGATTAAAAACAACTAATATTTACTCAGTGCTTACTATATGCTCTATATGGTACTTTGCCACCATTGTCTCTCAGGAACATAGAATAACTCACTCAAGGCCATGCATTTATAGTGGCAATGGTAGGACTTCAACCCAGTTCTGATTAGCTTAGAGTACACACTGGCAACATTCTACTGCATCACTTTCAGAATACACATGGTAAAAATTAATAAGAGGTCAAGAACTATAGAAATGTGACAGTTGCTGGGCTGTGAACCTATGTACCTCATTCCCCAAGTAATACCCAAGTTTATACTTCAATTTTAATTTGCATGTACCCTCTTCATATGAGGATGTCTCAGCAGAATTCATCACCCAACTAGAGTCCAAAATCACTGTTCCTACATGGAAAAAGAGTAAAAATTATGTAGCTATAGAGTGAGTTTCTGACTCAGCAAAGAATAAATATCTGTTTGACAGACCTTAACTTTTTTATAGCAGTGGAAAATGACACTGGAGAGAAAAAGAGGCTTAAGGAGAGTAGGAGAAAGTTCAGTCTGATTTAGCATCACCATTTGTATTCTCTGTAAAGATCTTAAGGCATGAGCCACACATCAGAAGGTCCAAGGGTTCTCATTGTCTATGGCTTGAAGTTTATTGCTGTTGCCAAGAACCAACTGGCATCAGTAACCGTTACCTCCAAAACTCTGACGGAAAGTGTGTACTAAGGGACATTCATCCATTCAGCAGGACCATAATTTTATGAAAGGTAGTTAGCATTGGCAGGTGAGCCATAATATATCTGACCTTTAACTGTGATTCAGACAGCAGGTAGAAAAACCACTGGATGATATATCTCCTGCCAAGAGATTGTCCATAAAATACAGCACACTTCCCTGGGCAATCGCAGATGGATAAAATAGTGTGCCATTTAGATCATCCCTGTGCCTGTGGGTTGGATTAAAATGAAAAGCTTTGGTAACCTTCCCACGCAAAAAACTTTTGCTCTTTGAGCATCCTGATATGTCAGCACCTGTATTAATGCCACAGCTGCAGACTGAAACTGCTAATTTCCCTGAAGAGGAGAAGGCAGCATTCAATAGAAACAGCTTGTCCAAAGCCCCAGATGAAATGGGCCAAGTTTAATGATCCAAAGAGAGTGACTGATTTGTTTCTTACCATAACAAAGGCAAAGGGATCTTTTACAACTTGTGGCTCTGTGCCCTCAATCATCACAGTTACACATCTCTATAAGAGGGTTCATAATTTCAAAAGGTGGACTGTATTTCTTCATCAGGATTTTCTTGGCCATATGCTATGTGCAGGGTCTGATGATATAAAGACAAATAATACTACTTATATCCAGCCATTTACAGGTTCACAAGCAAGAAGTGAAATGTTTATATTAGGGAGTTATGCACTTAATTTTCAGATTCTGTGTAGCCTATTGGGGAGCCTGTAAAGAGTACATAATCAATTCTTCCTGGATGTGGGGCAGGAAAATCCTCACGGAAGATCTCTTCTGTGAAGTCTTGTAAAATGTGTAAGGGATTACCAAGTAGAAAAGTGAGATACAAAAGTCATTCCAGCAGAGGAAGCTGCACCAGCAAGGACAGGAATATACTGTATCAAAAGCTGTCAGCCGTTGGTTTGGCCACAGATAGCCAGTGACCTGAAGGAGGTGAGATAATGCTGACAGTAGGCTGGGGTCAGACCATGCAGAGGTAACAGTAATAATTGCAAACTTGGTTTCACAGGGCAGCTGAATGAAATTATAGATAACTGGCCTCATTCTAGGAGATTATGATTTACTAAGTCTGAGATGGGACAGAGAACCTGTATTTTCAACATCCCCCACAATCACCACCAACAACTAATACTGATACAGCCAGTCTTTGAAGAGTTTTAACAAAGAAAAAAACATGGTCTAATCTATACTTTAGAAAATCATTCCAGGAAGAGACTGGAACAGGAATCTGAAGGGCTAAGGACCAAAGCCAAGGAGATCCTCCACTCTTTAGAGATTAGAAATTGATGCTCAGTGATGTTACATGACTTTCCAAATCTGTATAGCTGGTAACAGAGGCAGAATTTGAAACCATATTTTTATAACTGAGAAGTCTGGGATTTTCCCATTCTACTACAATGTCCCTTACCCTACTGCTGCAAGGATACTGTCTAAGATAACTAAGTCTTAGTGCAAGGGGCTGGAAGCAAAGGAAATCAACTCTGGCCAGTTGAAGCATCTGAGATAAGAGCACAGGAAATTCCAGGTCATAGACATACACTGATTGAAACTATGTGCTCTGGCTGATTAGAATTCAATTCTCTGACCCTCCTGTAATTCCACTGCAGTTTAATTAAAACTCATTAAACTGACATCACATTCCAGCAGATAATTAGAAAAATAGTACACACTTTAAGTACATCGTCTTATTCTGGCTACATTTAATGTAAAAGATGAATCACACAAACAATGGTTACTAGTAGAAATTACCAATAATTTTGCCTTTTACTGCCCTAGGCTCTCATTTTGCATGATCTTGTATAATTATCACAACAACCTTATGAAGTATGTAAGATAGGCCCAGAGAGGCTTAGTACTTTGCTCAAGACCACATAGCACCAGTAGGAAGTACCCTTTGTCTACATGATTTTAAAGCCTTTTGTGTCTCTGTTTTTTCACTACCATTTCATTTTTTTCAACAGTCTACATTGTGAGTATTACCTACCTAGCCTAGCACCCTTCCTCTGGTGAAACAGTCATGAACACAATGGGACCAGTGGGATGAAGCTGTTTCCTATATCAAGATTTTAAGATCACCAGTGAAAAGAATGAAGAAATCTATTGTAAACTGGATTACCTAGAAAGCAGTCTCTGGGAAAGGGAGCAGGTGCAGGAAGGCATTAGAACTACTTGGGATCAATACCTGTACAGAAATGGAAGAAAACCAGATTAGCTAGAGGAGAAGTTCAGTTTGTAATCAACTTTGGGGAACTCTGACATTGAATGGCCCTTTTGAGCAGGGGCGATATACCCTGTCCCCATCAACTACTCGTTGGATGCAGGCTGGCACTGGGAAGAAGCAAAACCCTCGTCAAGGCAGCTGTCTTCAGCCAAGAGAGGTTGACAGTATTTGGAGGAAGTCTTTCTGTACTGAAGTGCAGTCTGGGAGGCTGAACATACCGTCCACCATGAGGTGTATGTCTTCTTGGTACTATGTTCTCTCTTCTCTCTTTTGATCTGCTACAGTCGGGGCTCCTTTGGCTTGGGAGGGATTTTCAGTCATCCAGGGCTGAGAAAGGGCTTCCAGTAGTGGAACACTGGCCACGTCTTCATGGATGATACAAGCTGAGGACCTGAAGGAAGAGCACTGACTAAGCCACTTTTCTGTTTCACCTGTGAATATAAATATGAGAAGTGTAGTATCTCTAGTCTCATCCATGTGGTTTAATCACCTTTCATTTATCCTTTCATTTATTTATTAACAAGCTACATATTTTCATAGGCAGTCACTCTGACTCATAAATACAAATACAAAGAGCAATAAAATATCAAGCCTTTAGAACTTTAGTTGCCTGATGCTGGGTGTGGTGAGGAGTGAGCAGGAGTAAGTAGTGAACCACTGTTGGTGCATCAAAGAGGCTAACAACTTTCAGAGGCATTTGCATTGTTTAGTTCCCTAGATTGATGGGTAAGAGAATTTTCTAAAAGAACTGAGATCAAAAGTAACCTTCCCCATTTAAGTCACAGAGATAGGCCACAGCATTCCACAGTTATGAGGGTAGGTTGATTGGGGTGAGAGGAGATGAAAATATCTAGAATGCAATGAGGTTGTATCCCATCTGGAAGGAAGAACCACTGAAATTAGGAACAAGACAACGGTCATCATAGAGTTGAATCTGAAGCTTCTTTTTAAGAGTAGAGGGCTGCCCCACAGCAGAAGTTGGATTTGCAAGCAAGATACACAAATGTTTTAGAATTTGAAGCTGTAGAGTCTCTGTCACTTTGATGATTACTCAGTGACTGTGAGTGCCAGACTAACGTAATCTGTAGCTTTTATATTTGTCACACATTGAGGCAGTTTTCTGTATTATTTTCCTAAATACTAATTGTGAAGGAAGGGCAGTAGCACATACCACCTGTCATCTATAACACATGTATCCCTAAGGAGCATGTGGAGAGGGAAAAGGGATAAAACCATCCTAAACCAATTGCATAAAGGTCTTCATTGGAAGAATTTACCTTCCTTACAATCCAGGAGATAAGACCAGTTTTGCTTGGCTAAACTGATAATTTATATAATTAAAATGATAACTTCTCCAAAATCAAAGGAGTCAAAAAGATTCACCATTGGCGCCAGCTGCATTCAATCCCTTTCCCCAACAAATATTTATTGAACATGTATTATGGCCATGTCCTGGGAATTATACAGTGACCAAATCAGAGAGCCTCCTGCTAAGGACTTTCATTCTAGTAACTTCTCGGCCCAAGCAGAGTAGCAGAAGGCAACCAGTGATACCTCATCCTGGGTATGGTTTAGAAGAGCATGGGGACAATATATTTGTCATGTTTAACTTGGGTTATAGGGTAATTCAGGAGTGAGAACTGATGTTGCTTGATTTTCCACCCCTGGTATTCAAGAGTCAGACACACAGAAGTTATTCAATAAATACTTGGTGAATGAACAAATAGCCCGGAGCGATCTGTGTGTATTTTTGTCAGGATGGCTCTCTGTGATACCAAACAGCATACAACTTTTCATGAGATTTGGCCATAAGGGGATGTTGTGTCAGTGTACAGAGCTTCCTGGAAGGAAAATAACCTGAGCTATTTAAGCAAAGGGCTTATCTTTTCATAAAGGTCCCTATACTTAGGGTCTTCTACATCCCAGTGACCTTATTCTCAAAGACAAACACAGAAGACCCTTTGGGATAGAAGGTACACATTCAGAAGCGAGTCAATGCCCTTCAAAACAAAAGTATCATTTTCTTCAGTCATTCCAACTCTATTGATTATCTGCTATGTGCCATGCATGGTGCAGGGCACCGAACAGTACAATAGTGATGACGGCAATTTGCCTTTAAGGAGCTCACAAACTAGTGACAGAGAAATAATCATAATAGCTAACATTTACTGAGTGCCTAGCATTTGTACTTCCTTAAATCTATAAGGAACCCTATCAGATAAATGGTATTATCTATATCTTTTACTGGTAAAGAACTTCAGGTAGCTTGGATAATTTGCTCAAGGTCACACAAAATTATTTCTACATGGCAGACCCTGCATTACAATTTATATGTATCTAACACCATAATGCATCCTCTTAACAAGTATCATACAGCCTCTCACTAATAATTTGACAGATACTTGACACATGCTTTTCACGGTCATTAAAGCCAAGTTGTCAAGAGCCAGATTGCCTGGGTTCAAGCCTTGACCCCACTATTAAACAACATATTTAATGTGTGTCTCTGTTGCTTTACCTATTAATATGCATAATAATAATAGTACCTTCCTCAGAGTGTTTTTATGATATTGGGAGTTAAATTAGATGCTCAAAATGTATAGATGCTCACTTAGTAAGTGTTACATAAATGCTACCCCTGATCCTTAGGCAATGATTTTTCTTTCCTCTGAAACTGGTTTTGTTGAATGTTCTAATGGGGGTGGGAACTCATAAAAACCAGAAAAGGGAGGGTGGTTTTTCTCGTGCACATTTAGTGGACTGAATTTTTAACTTTCCTAAATCTGAAAGTAGCATCAGATTCATGCAGATTCATGTTATACTCACGCATAGAGGCAGTCAGAGAAGAGGCAGATTGAATGCTGTCCCCACTATTTTATGTTTTAGATTGGGCTTTCTCATCTGAGAACCATGTACAGACAAACGTTCCCATTAAATCCTCTCCTCCTTTATTTTTCTCTTTCAGTAACATGGGTACAAAAAGCTAACAGCATACCCAGGGAAAACGCATACTTTCAGAGCAAAGGTCAAAGTTTATTAAGCACTTCACCAGCTCAAGTGTTTTTACAGAAAACCAAGGAACATTCAATTCACACCAGGGCTTTTAAGTTCCCGGAAATATCATATCATATTTAAAGGATTCTAATTTAGCTTATTTATAGAGTGTTGATCAAGACAACTTTTTAAATATTCTAGACCTTTGATACACAGAGTTTTTGCCCCTCTGTGGGACTAAACGATAAAAATAAAAAACCTAAAGCAGGTACCAGGAAAACAAATAAATATCTTTCAGGAAGCTGAGTAGAGACTTTTATGTGTAGGCAGAAATAGCAGAATCTTTAGAACCTTCAGGCCATAGAAATTAAACCCTTCATCATGAATGTCCTGACAGAAGAAAAATGTGTCTGAGTGCATACCATGCACTGATGTGTACCTGTTTGTATGTGCACACACATGTGTGTTTATATGTGCACATGTATGCGTATATGTATGTGCAGTCATGCACACATCTGTGTATACATCCATATACTGGTGTCAGACTTGGTCAGAGAGTCCTCTGTTTATCTGAAAAACAGAGAGGAGCCAAATTGCACAAGAATGCTTGTGAGTCATGAGGTCACCAGAGAATCTGGAGTAGTGAATTAAATGGGACTTCTTGGAGCAATACCATACCTCCTACCATTCACTGGGCATTAACTAGGCTATGTTCATTATAAGTAAATGACTCAAAATCCTCTCTAAGGCCCTATGAAATAGCCCTTAATTTCCCCATTTTACAGAGAAGAAACATGAGTCTCAGAAAGGTTGAAGATGGGATTTGAACCTAGGATTTAGTGGCTCCAAGGCCTCACTCTTTCTATAAAACTCAATTGATGGGGGAAGTCTCTGTTTCCTCAACAATTACATCACTTGTGGTGCCTGGAAATCCTCTGGCAATGGACTTTCACAGGTTTAAGATGTTGGGGAGAAAAAAAGTTTTTAAAAATTAGACATATTATATCTGATGAGCAACAGCTAAAAACTTAAAGGTGGACACAATAATCAAACATATCTTGAAGTCAGAGGATTTTTCCAAAGGGCTGTTATAATACACCTATGATCTACAACTTACCTTGAGCACTACCCTCCAATTACCCAGTATGGTATTTCTATATATTTTTTTAAATATAACTTCACTATTTCTTATCTCTTATCCAAAGTGCTGAATAAATATTTGTTGAATGAATGTTGAATAAAGGTAGAAAAAAATAATTCAAGGGTCATGGAATAGCCTCATGAATTTTACAGTTTTATTTCATTGATCTTTCTGAAAACACTCTCATAAAGACAACATAAATGCCATTGTATTCAGATGAATAAAATTTGGTGTTCCATGAAGAAACAAGGCCATGGACCCTAGGACATTATAATTTGTGCTCTCTCAATGGGATCCTGAGGATAGGGGCTTAATGAATGTTGTATTAATTATGGTAATGCTAGCTGCTATAATCAATACATCGCAAATTTCAATGGCCTAACACAATAAAATTTATTCCTCACTCATATGAGAGTCCAACACTTCTCTTCCCTTTTGGCATGCAGTTTTTCTCTTTGTAGAAATTCAGGGACTCAGTTCCCACAGTCTTGCAGCTCTGCCATCCCAAAGGACTTTTGAGCCAGTTAAGGTGAAAGAGAGAGAACAAAGATACACCCGCTTCTTTTAAACCCTGGCCCTGGGTAATACACTTTCATTCACATTTCACCAGAGAGTTCATGGTTAGTTCATAACCAGTTTGCAAATAACAACTCCACACTACTGAGGGGGAAATACTACTTTCTAGTAGACTCTGCCATTCATACATTCCCCAGATATGCCTAGACTCCCAAAGGAAATGGCATTTATGGCTTATTATAGGATTATAGGCACTGTCTTAGATTCTTCTCATATATTATCTTACTAATCTTTCCAAAAGCTCTATTTAGCATTATCCTGACTATCAGAAAAAGAAACTGAGCCTCAAATAAATGATATGACTTGCCCGAGATGATTACCTGGTTAATGACAGAACATGGATTTAAATCTGGCACGAGCTGATTCCAAAGCCCATCCTCTCTCCACCAAACCAAAGAAGGATTCACATTTTCAAGGATTTGCGTGTTTCTTCAAAAGAATCTGAGTAGTAGCTAAATTGTTGTTTCACATTATTGCATTAGACTAAACTTTACACTGTATTGGACAGCTTTTACTCTTGATTAATAATGAATGGCTAGGGAGGATGTTCAAATTACTTATAGACAAAACAACTTTATCAGCACATCTGAGTTAAACAAGTTAATCTTCGTCAGACTGTCAAAAGACAGTCTGAACAACAAAATTCTAGAAAGGACAGGAATGCAAGTGTGTTTCGGGGCAACTGAAATTAGAGAGGCAGATGCTTCTTAAAATGTCTCTATATTCATCTATACTTATTTCTTCTCTGTACTTCTTTCTATATATCAACTTTAGTCACTTCTACTAAAGAATGGCTTACTCATATGATTCAATTTATATAAAATGTTTAGAATAGGCCAAATCACAAAGACAGAGAGTAAATTGGTAGTTGTCCTAGCCTAGGGGGAGGGAGGAAAGGAAAGGGCCTGCTAATGGGTACAGGGTTTCCTTTTGGGGTGATGAAAATGCTCTGGAATTTCTGATAAAAGTTATACAACTCTGAATATAGTAAAACCACTGAATTATACTCCTTAAAAGGGTGAACTTTATACCATACGAATTACATCTCAACAAAGCTAGTATTTAAAAAAAAGAATGGTTTTCTTCCCAGGTTGAGGCAAATGGCCTCTAGGAAATTCTAAGTGTCATATATTGTGGGTGTCTCCACCAGCGACTGACTAGTTCCCAGATTCAGGTCAAACAAACAGAAAAAAATATGCATCCAAAGGGGAAAAAACCTGTTACTTCGCCAGTCAGCTTCTGGCAAGGGGGCATGATCACATTAAACAGACTTGGGAATGGAGTCTCACTTCTGTGAATGGGACGACTCTAAACAAATGGGAAAAATCATTGCAGACCAATCAGCTACAGAAGGGTTATCTAATCTACCAGACTTCACTACAGATTATATATGTTTATATATACCCAATATGTTATGCCATAGCCTTATACACCAAATTTTAGGGAATCAGCAAAATATGGAAGCTGCATGAGCACTGGACTCAGACACACCAGTTTTGTAATCCCGCCACTGACTAAGTCTATGTCATCGGTGAGGTCACATCAATTCACAAGGCACCCAATTTTATTTCTGTAAATGCAATAAAAATATATCTATCACTTGATCATAGTAAGTAAAAGGATGATATAATATATGCAAAGCACTCAGCACAGAGGCTATCCACATAGCCTATGCCTATACATAGCAGGTGCCTCATAAATATTAATGAGGGAATGGTACAAGCAATTGGTAAAAACAATGGAGAAGCAATTGGTATAGCCAGTTCCAAAATAGTGATCACACATGGATACTCCACCAAGAGGAAAAATGAATGGTCAAAGGAGCTGGCTTTTCTATTTTGTCATTCTGACCAGTTGATTAATTAAGATAGACTTACAGTCACTGCTGCTTGCAAGGTCCAGAGCAGACCACTGTAAGGGTGTTATAAATAATACCAGTAATATTTCACAATTTCACATTTTTCTAAGTATTTTTATGTCTGCTCTCTGTTTTGCTAATCTTTCCCCATCTAGAAAAATCCTGTTTATGCTTCAAGACTCAGCCTATGTGTCATCACCTTTCTGAGGCCTTTGGTGACATTGCCACCATCCCAGGAAGAATTAACCATCCTTTCTCCTGTATTTCTATTGTGATATAGTCACACTTCTTGCGTAGTATTTTACACATCAGCATATTTTACACACCATCCCTCATCAGATTATAACTACTACAACAGTAGTCCAGAATCCAGCATAGCCTTCTGCAAATGATGAATGTCAAACACTCTTTGTTGAATGTAGCAATAAAACTACACATAAAGGAACAGTGCCTGGCACTGGCTAATAGCACCTTATGGACAAAGTAAAGTTAAATTAAATTTGGTGATCAGAAAGGACATATGAATTACCTAGAATGGGAAATTTATTTTTATTTTTACCAAAAAATAAAAGAGAGAGAGACTAAATGACTTGCCCAAAGAAATATGTTAAGAAAATGGTAAAGCTGAATTCAGCAAGAAAACGTTCCTTGTGATTTCTAACTTAGTGCCTTTTGCATTTCACTGTGTTGCCTCTGAAATTTTTTAAAAATAAAAAAAGGCTCAACAATAAAATGAAAATTTAGAATCAGATTAATAGCTGATGAATATGGCTTCTTCCTTGTGACAGTTATCAACAAATGAACTCAACCATCTTATTTTTAAAATTTTCACTGTTTTCATAGCCTTTGCCTGTTTGAGCTTCTCTACCTCAAGAGCTTTTGGAACATGTTAGGAAAAGATGGGTATTCCTTGTATAAAACCTCATGACTTTGGGGGAGAAAGGCTGCCCTGGATTCATACTGGCCATTAGGTGGAGGCTGCGACTTGACTGATGTGCACAGCTAAGCAGGATAGGCCAAGAACTAGAACCCATATCTCCATTCTCCCATATCATCACTTCCTCTGATTGATGTGCAATGATAGCCATCATCAACTGACAGACGTACATGTATAACAGCATTGTTTTTGTATGTAAGAATTAAAGAGGAACTAGGTCAAAATGTAAATACAATTTCAAATGCAGTAGAATCATTTTTTACCTCTTGCCTATATACTTTGTAGAAGTAGTTGTATTGATCTTGTGACAGTCTGTTTCAAGCTAAAGGCCCCAAGTTTTGATCAGGTTCACAGACGCTCTTTAATCTGTAGATCTATGAACTAATCAAGAGTTCAAATCCCAACAATTGGCCAAAACTCTAATATTTTGAAAAATGCTTTTCTGTTCCTGACATTCATTTTCCATCATAAAACTAACATTTTTAACTTGGGATTTTTTTAAAAAGTTAAACAGTCTCAAAGAAATGGAAAACATTTGGGATTTTTTTAAAAAGTTAAACAGTCTCAAAGAAATGGAAAACATTTCTCACCAATAATTATGGTGTCTCAGTAATTATCACCATTCCTTCATGACAATGAGAAACTGAAAAACATTTGAAAAATATGTCCTGATTTTGCTGATGACTAATCAGAGAAAATGAAATATAAATTTTTATAGATACTACTATGTAGCAGGTATTTCAACTTAATAATATCATTTAATCTCCATACCACCATAAAATGAATACAATTATACTTATTTTATCAAAGAGAAACGGAAGCTCATAGAATATAAATGAGCTCCTCAACCTCATACATCCAAAAAGTTAGAGCCCAAGGTAATCTCTATTGATTCTCCAGTTGCAATTTTCCAGTATTTTTCTAGCAGTGAACTTTATGAACAGTAATAATTCATCAAATTGTTTGCCCTCTCTTATTTACTCATTCCTTCCACAAATGTTCATTGAGTTCCTTACTACTTGCCAGCACCATAGGGAATGACAGTTTTTAAAAGATAAAAAGTCAACATACAATGAAGGGGAACCTTCTGATGTGAATGTATTCCAGATACTGTCAGAAATACTAAGGGAAAACTGTATCCTAGTCCATTCCCTCTTAAAAATTCATGCCAGAATATTGATTCTGACAGACCCCATATTATCATTGTTGACAAGAAAAACTTGATAGTGAAGCACAAATGTATCATGTTTTAATGACATTTTAGATGTCTTTTCCTTGAAAGGAAAAAAAATATATATGCCAAACTATATTAGTGATACAAATCTGGAGACTTATTGTCAAACATCAACTTAAAACTTGTTCATCCATTGATTCCCTCATCCCACTAATCCATTGTTCAGTCATTTAACTACTAATAACAATACCAACTGCTAACCTTTTCTGAAATTTTCTATGTGCCAGGCACTGTTCTAAATTCTTAAATGTACTAACCTATGGAATCCTCACAAGTCTGTAAGTACTATTATTATTATCCTTTTGAAATGGAGTCTCGCTCTGTCACCCAGGCTGGAGTGCAGTGGTATGACTTCTGCTCACTGCAACCTCCACCTCCTGGGTTCAAACGATTCTTGTGCCTCAGCCTCCCGAGTATCTGGTATTACAGGTGCCTGCCACCGTGCCTGGCTAATTTTTTGTATTTTTAGTAGAGATGGGGTTTTGACATGTTGGCCAGGCTAGTCTGGAACTCCTGACCTCAAGTGATCTGCTCACCCCGGCCTCCCAAATTGCTGAGATTACAGGCGTAAGCCACCATGTTCAGCCAAGTAAGTAGTATTATTATCTCCACTTTAGGTATAACAAAGGTGCTAAGTAATTTACCAAAGATCACATGTTGGCTGAAATGGAGGCAGTTTGACTGCAGGATACATGCTCTAAACTGTTATATCACCCTATGTTTTGAAGGTTAATTAATATCTACTTTGCATCAGGGACTGTGCTAAATTAAATAGAAACCTCCAAGAAGAAGGCAGATACACTTCCTGTCTTCAAGGAACTGCAGTCCAGCAGGGAAGGCAGAGATTGTAACAGTAATTACATGCAATATGACAAGGGTTCCAATAGAGGAAATATAAGGAGAAGTACAGGTGCTATGTGGGTGAACAAATTGTTGTCAGAGAAGACCTAGGAGAGGACAAGTGAGTGCTATGTAAACCTGGTGATAGCCTTCCACATAGGTGATCTATCAATGCAGATGGATAGTAAATTAGACAATTATTTAGACTCACATCTGGGGCCAGACTGTGCACAGAAGATTCTAGGTGCCAAGAAAGAACAGAGAGAGATGGGGCAGGTCTTTGGCTTTGCACTTTCTATGGAGGAGCTGTGCTGTGAGGTGACGAAGGGGAGGTGGGGGTAGGGGGAGGTAGAGGTAGAAGCCCGTAGTTGTAGAACGAGAAGAATGCAGCCAAAGAATGAAAGCCAGAGGAGAGTTAGCCTTGTGACATCAAACAGATTGAAGCTGTAAAAAAGTGAGTGTTTTATCATTAAAATTGTTAATGTTAAATTTCTGCTGGAATATTTCTTGTATGCTTCCCCAAATAGGCTTTCCTCATAGGACTTACAGAAAACATACCAATGGGACAATAAAAATTTTACACAGATTGTGAATGTATTTATTCATTTTCTCTATTTGCTTCAAACTGAAGCTACCATCTTCTTTTCATGCTTATTGATATTTCTTAACAAAACTGATATATTATCCTATAGTCATAAATGGAATTGTTGGAAGGAGCATGTGGCCTAGTTCCTTTATGTTATAAATGATGATAACAGAAAGCCAAAAAGTCCACACAAAACCAGAAACTCTAAATACAGTGTGTGAAGGAAATAAAAATGCAGTATGATTATGGACCAAATTATGTACCCCCAAAATTCATATGTTATAGTCTTAACCTCCAGTACCTCAGAATATGATTGTACTTGGAGATAGGGCCTTTAATTAGGTGATTAAGTTAGCACAAGTCTTTTAGAATGGGCTACAATCCAATCTGTCTGGCATCCTTATATGAAGAGGAAATTTGGACACAAAAAGGAACATCAGGGATCTGTGTGCACAGAGTAAAGACCATTTGAAGACACAGTGAGATGTCCATCTACAAGCCAAAGAGAGCCTTAGAAGAGCTCTAGAAGAAATCAACCCTGCTGGCACCTTCCAGTCTTCAGGACTATGAGGAAACGAATTTCCCTTGTTGAAGTCACCCAGTCTGGTATTTTGTTACTGCAGTTCTAGCAAACTAATGCATACTCACATACTTTTATATTTATACCCACATTTATTCTCTCCATCTCTCCCTCCCTTCCTCCCTCCCTCCCTCAAGCCAATTTCAAAAGCACTTTCATGCATATTACTGTATTTGAGTTTGATAGCACTTTTGTTGAAAAGGCAGGCCAATAATTAACTTCACTACATGGATAAAGCAACTGAGGTTCTGAGTTCATAAGTTACTCACAGATACTACTAGAAATAACTGAGCTAGAATTTGAATACAGGTTTTCTAATTTTTCAAGTCCAACATCCTCTAAATGTAACCAGTCTCTCTCAGCACCACTAGTATTTCTGGAATGCATGGTATAAGTATGAAAAATAAAAAGGAAATAAATATTAAATTTGCTAGTAACATGAACCAAAAAAATCAATCAATAAAACATAACATCAACCATAGAAAACCAGTAAATTAACACAACAAACCTAAAGCTTATTAATCATAAGCATTAGCAATCTTATTTTTCTAGGGGTCTTCTGGTTCCCACCTTCTGTCTTTTAAAGCAAGTATAAAGAGTATTTTTCAGTTATTGGCAAAACCTCATAATGTATTCTTGCTTCTCCTAGCTTTATGCGGTTTGTTTAGGCTACGCACTAGAAAACCTCTCTGAAATATGGTGGCTGTTTTACACCAAGCGGATGTGGTTCTCTCTAGAGTCAGTATCTAAGGGTAATGTCAGTGTCCCTTTGATAATTTCGAAGATCAGATTCTTTATGAGTCATGTTTACGATTTTTCTTTCGGAGAGCACTTGATTGTCTATGTGTGCCAAGCACAGTGCTTCTTATTGCAGCCAAGGCAGTCACACGCGAGGTCACTTCACGTGGCTCTAGCCTTAATGCTTCTAATTGTGAACATGAAGCTTGCCTCCTGTACATAAATCCATGATGAAAAAGACCATATGCTGTTATATATCAACATAAATTTCCCAAACAAATGTTCATATCTTTGCAGACACAAGGCTTCTGTTCCTCCATCCACAGTAGGGAAATAATATTTGTATGCAGGCATACGGTAATAAGACCTAGTTACCTTCAAATTCTTACACTTATAGTTCACTGCCAACTGTTTCCTACTCTGCCACCAACAGGTGCTCTAGCATAAAGCATTTGGGTGAGGAGACATGCACCTCAAATGCTGGGAACAACTCTTTTTTAGAAGAAATAACAGCTTCTCATAAATATCCCAGTCCTTTAATGATATGCTAGAGAGGTTGTGATGGAAGACCCCTGTGTGTGGTGATTTATGTAAGGGAGCAGATAGCTTCAAACACATTTTATCCTTCAGCTTCCTCTCAAGGTAGACCTAACCAAAGCACATGGAGAACAATTTAGCCAAATCTGAAATGTAACAACAGAATCATGCCTTTTGTGTCTCCCAGATTATTCTGTGAATTCAAGGGAAAGGTATAGAGGTGAGGCAAGCAAGGTGACAGAGCTAAAAGAAAAAATTGGCTTTAGAAATCATGGGTTCTAGCCACCTACCGGGCATATGAGCCTTGAGCTTAACCTCCTCGGTCCTCAGTTTTCTCATCTATAGAGTGAGAGTGGCAACAGCACTGCAACTTGTTTCACGAGTCTTAGATAATTTCCAGTTTACGTTAACATCTAACCTTAGAATTCAACTCTTCTCTTAGAACTAACAGTTTCTCATAATCATCCTAACTTGATGATATTTGATGAGGATTTGAGGATCAAAGATTCTCATACATTGAAGGTAGAAGATGTTTGTTTTACATGTACAAAAATACTTTTATCTACATAGAAATGTTCTAGAAAGATTATGTCTGGGATTTTGATGGGGAAAATGAAGTTTTAAATTTTTAAATTGTATACCTTTTTGCAAATGCATTAATTTTTAATGAGCAAAATGTCAGTCATTAGATAAAGCTGTAATGGAGAAAATGGTTTGGCCCTGATGACAAAATGGGGTGGAGGGGGAGGGGAGGATGACAGAGGCTGCTTGCCAGTATTTCTGAGAGGGAAAGGATTTCTATTTTATGGGCTGAAGAAAGAACAAAGAGAAAAAAAGAACATTGTTTCCTACAATTCCTGAATTTTTGTTTCCGCAACTTATTTTCTCTGGGGGGCTTACTCATACCTTTATTATCATGTAAATTGATACAACCTTGTTGAGAGGTACATTTGATACTTGTCTAGGTCGAGGAATAGTCAGGAGAAAACAGCTTATCCCAATTTTATATAACATAGCCACATACACATGATTATGAATAGTCTATCATAGTTAACATTTAGTGTTTACTTTGTGCCTGACACTGTGCTAAATATTATGCATAGATCTCATTTAGTCCTTAGAAAATTCTATAAGTTAGGTATTATTCTCACTTTTCTGATGAAGACAACTGAATTCAATTTATAACCACAGCATTCCCACTTCTGTGTAGGTGAACTGGAGTTTGAACCCAGGTCTTTTCAACTCCATCTACCGTGCTGACACAGCCAGGTGTGGGAGGCAGTGTGGCAGCCCCCATATGGCTGGCCTGCTCTGGCTGCTTCTAACCACTAGTCCCTATTGTGCTATTATTATTATTATTTATTATACTTTAAGTTCTAGGGTACGTGTGCACAACTTGCAGGTTTGTTACATATGCATACATGTACCATGTTGGTGTGCTGCACCCATTAACTCGTCATTTATGTTAGGTATACCTCCTAATGCTATCCTTCCCCACTCCCCCGACCCCATGACAGGCCCCAGTGTGTGGTGTTCCCCACCCTGTGTCCTAGTGTTCTCATTGTTCAATTCCCAACTATGAGTGAGAACATGCGGTGTTTGGTTTTCTGTCCTGGCGATAGTTTGCTCAGAATGATGGTTTCCAGCTTCATCCATGTCCCTACAAAGGACATGAACTCATCATTTTTTATGGCTGCATAGTATTCCATGGTGTATATGTGCCACATTTTCTTAATCCAGTCTATCATTGATGGGCATTTGGGTTGGTTCCAAGTCTTTGCTATTGTGAATAGTGCCACCATAAACATATGTGTGCATGTGTCTTCATAGCAGCATGATTTATAATCCTTTGGGTATATACCCAGTAATGAGATGGCTGGGTCAAATGGTAATTCTAGTTCTAGATCCTTGAGAAATGGCCACACTGTCTTCCACAATGGTTGAACTAGTTTACAGTCCCACGAACAGTGTAAAAGCGTTTCTATTTCTCCACATCCTCTCCAGCACCTGTTGTTTCCTGACTTTTTAATGATCACCATTCTAACTGGTGTGAGATGGTATTTCATTGTGGTTTTGATTTGCATTTCTCTGATGGCCAGTGATGATGAGCATTTTTTCATGTGTCTGTTGGCTGCATAAATGTCTTCTTTTGAGAAGTGTCTGTTCATATCCTTCACCCACTTGTTGATGGGGTTGTTTGTTTTTTTCTTGTAAATTTGCTTGAGTTCATTGTAGATTCTGGATATTAGCCCTTTGTCAGATGGGTAGATTGCAAAACGTTTCTCCCATTCTGTAGGTTGCCTGTTCACGCTGATGGTAGTTTCTTTTGCTGTGCAGAATCTCTTTAGTTTAATTAGATCCCATTTGTCAATTTTGGCTTTTGTTACCATTGCTTTTGGTGTTTTAGACATGGACCTTATACAAAAATTAATTCAGGATGGATTAAAGACTTAAATGTCAGACCTAAAACCATAAAAACCCTAGCAGAAAACCTAGGCAATACCATTCCTCAACTTATTGATCTTAACTCAAGCCCAAGTCAACTCATGGTGGGTTGTCTACCTTGAGGCAAAGGTCTGAAGTTTAGCAAGACAATGATTTTAGAGGGATTCTCCCACCAGAAGCAACCCCTGCTGCTGGGATGGTTGGTGGGTAATTCAGCTTTTAGCGCCAAAACAGGAATGATCATTCAGGCTTTTCTCTAGGGAATGTCACTCACATGAGCGTCTCTGTGAACAGAGATCCCCACCCCCAATCTCTACAGCCCACACAACAGCCCTCCAGCCAGAAGGATCGTAGATATGTGGATATGTTTTTGGGTATGGATCAGCAGGGTACATCAATTATGTTGACTAAAGGCCACCTTGCACCATGGGCTGGAAGTTCATTGTCTGTTCTGAATCTCATTTCAAATTATATGGAGGCACATTACCTGATACAGTACACCAGAGGTTATGTAAAGGGCTCAAATGACAACACAAAAATACTTAAATTAATGCATTGCCTGGAATACAAAAAGTACTCCAATCTGAATGATATGAATCAGTTATTAAATTCCCAAAGTGAAAGCAAATTTCAAAAATTAAATTGGTATTTTAATTGAAGTTCCAAAGAATTCAAGTATTTCCAAATTCCAAATATTTCCTCTCTTAAGTTTCTCTGTTCAGTCCCAGTAGAATAGAGCTTCATTCACTTGGGTGGAATCACTGTTTTTTAGTAGCTGTTTCTGAAGCTCTGAAGTTGTATCATTATAACTGCAAGTTCTTCATGAGCTTTACCTTTTGGAATCTAAAGTGTTCATAAGGTATGAAAGATTATATAAGCATCAGAACAACAACTAAGATTTTTTTTAAATCACACGCACAGATCCCCAGTACCAAAATGGTAATCCAAACAAAATAACGTTGACAGAACCAGATACATAAGTACATTCTAGAGACACATTACTATCAACAGCCAAAGACCATGCAGAGATTTGGTTTTACTACATGGAGGACAGGAAACTGCATGTAGCTGATGAGGTGGTAGGGATTGAAAGGGAGGACAGAGACAGAGTTAGAGATGGAGACAGAGAGACAGAAAGATGTATTATCTTTAAAATACTTTAAAAACTAGGGTTTTTTGTTATTGTTGTTGTTTTTTTTTTTTTTTTTGAGACGGAGTCTCGCTCTGTTGCCAGGCTGGAGTGCAGTGGCGCGATCTTCGCTCACTGTAATGTCAACCTCTGGGTTCAAGCAATTCTCCTGCCTCAGCCTCCCGAGTAGCAGGGACTACAGGCACATGCCACCACGCCCAGCTAATTTCTGTATTTTTAGTAGAGACGAGGTTTCACCATGTTGGCCAGAATGGTCTCTATCTCTTGACCTCTTGACCCACCTGCCTCAGCCTCCCGAAGTTAAAAACTAGTTTTAAAATGTAGATCTAAACTTTTTGGGAAGTGATGTCTTAGTTGGCATCAAAATGCTTAATATGGTGTAAAACTGGAATTTTGAGTAGAATTGAAGTTCAGACAGCTTGAGAGCAGATTCTCTGACTGATTGACTGTCTTGTATTCCATAGTGCCTAGAAAAGTATTACTGCACATTAGGTACCTTTTAAATATTCCTTGAAAAAAGCCTTTTAAGAATGTGTCTGTATATTAAAGGTACCTTCTTAATGCCCTTAAGGTTGCATTAATAATTCTTAATATGTTTATTAACCAAGTTTAAGGATAGTCAGATCCTTAAAGTTGAGAATCCTGAACATGGTCATGAACTTTCCAGGCTCATATGACTCTCACTAGCCCTACTCTTCAGTGTGCTGTGCCCACCACCCTGGCCTTTTACCCCGTCTCTGAATTATCAATATATGCCAGGCATTTTGATAATTGCCCATATATATCATTGCATTTAACCTTGATACTTATCCTCCTTTTACCAAGGAGGAATCAGGCTCAGAGAATGAAGGGACAACCCAAAATCATACAGCTGGTAAGAAAAGGTGTGAGAATTTGAACTCAAGATTTGAATGACTTGAAAGCCCATTATTTTAACCACTTTGCTATCCTGTAGTGGGCTATAATAGTAAACGTTTGATACCAGAATTTGTGCTCCTATTGAAATATAACTATACCTCTCAGTTCATACACTCTACATGGCAAATATATTTAGTTATAGTTATATAGTGTTTCCATGCAAATCAGAGAGGGAGCACACTGCAATTTCTCATAGTATAGTAGAACAGATAACTGGAAAATACTGACACCACAGAATACTTTGATACTCCCTTGAGTAAGAGAATAGAGGATACCCTAAGTTGTTTAGTCCAGTGATAATTACAGAAAGAACTGGAATCTTCAAACAAGGATAAATTAGTCCTAATGCAACATACGTTTTGTTCATTCTCCAATAATATAGATCTAGAAAGCTTTTTAAACTTTCAGGGTAGCCAGACAGTCAGAAAGTGGTACATGTACGTAAAAGTGTAATGTGTGTATGTGTGTGTGTGTGCACCTGTATCTCATCTTTTGAACAAAGTATCATTTTTTAGTAAGTAGTGAGAAGCCTATTATCTTATTCTCTTCATTTAAAACACGCATCTTGTCCTCCTTCCCAATTTGTGCACCATTTCCCAGAGCCTCTCCTGCATTTTCAAATTCTAACACAAATGCATTAAACCGCATGCTAGGCAAAAATCAGTAGACGTTGTTATGAAAAAATTTTTAAAAGAAAATATACTGCCTTTAACTGCTTATATGCATAATATATAATGTTCCACTTCAGCTCCTTCAGTTGGGGAGCTGTGTGGGTCAGTCTACACATTGGCTGCAGAGTGTGCTATTCCTGCCAAATCATCCAGTTGAGATGGGAACATTAATTTATTTGAGCAGACGTGTGTCTATGTGGCTTTAACAAAACAGCCATATGCTGCTCTAGTAAGTAATGTAACAAAGCGGCACAATTGATGCCAGAAACTATCTTAGAACTTTTGACAAGGAGCATGGAGAAAGTTCCTTCTTCAACCTTCTTTTGCAGTGGCATTTCCTTTATTCTGATGATCCTCTAGACCAATATCGTCCAATACATATGGTTTTAATTTAGTGTGAATTTTCTGTGAGGCTTTGTGTTAGCCCCGGGTTTTCTTTTTCCATTTAATGGATTTTTATTAGGGGTTTCATGGCATAGCCATAGTTCCTTATACATATATTCCCCTCTCCTCCCCAAGACCTTAAGGGGAGGGGTCTCTTACAATAGGACCAAAGTGGGGAGTGGGAGCCAGGTATTGCTGAAATCCTCTGGCCAAATACCATCTTTAATAGATCTTAATGACATCGCTATAGTCCCAAGCCCAACCCTCAGCCTTCTAAGTCTGCTTTTCCCAGAATTGGTGACATTATTTTTGTAGATAAAATGTATTTTACACTACATGCAATACATACAAAACATTCAGAAATATAAAAATGTAGAAAGCTGGAAAACCCTTAGACTACCCCCAAATGACTAACTAATGTCTTTTTTTTCTTTCTTTCTTTTTGAGACGGAGTCTAGCTCTGTCACCCAGGCTGGAGGGCAGTGTCATGATCTCGGCTCACTGCAACCTCCGCCTCCCAGGTTCAAACAATTCTCCTGCTTCAGCCTCCCGAGTAACTGGGACTACAGGCAAGTGCCAACATGCCCGGCTAATTTTTCATATTTTTAGTAGAGACGGGGTTTCACCGTGTTAGCCAGGATGGTCTCCATCTCCTGAACTCGTGATTTGCCCGCATCGGCCTCTCAAAGTGCTGGGATTACAGGCGTGAGCCACTGCACCCGGCCATGTCATTTTTTTGTGCATTTTTTACTGTAATAATTTTAAGTATACTTTTTCAATATAATATGGTCATGAACATATTGTATATGTTGTTTTTGTGTTAATATAGTAATACAAGCATTTTCCCCACTGCTATGAATTCTTTTAAGCAAAAAATGTAATGGCCACAATAATTCCATTGTATTATAGACTAAATACTTTCAGAGTTGAGATATTACCAATATTTTGCTATAACAATAAATGCAAATGTTACCAACATAGTACTTAGAGATACCTGCTGTGACTAGTTGCTTGTGTATCTTTCCAGAAATATCGATTGCTTCATAAACATATATGTTATGGATGTATTTAATACAAATGGGCTTATGATAATCATATTCTGCGCTGTTATAAAAAAGTATACATGAGCAATATAATTGTCATAGGCAGCATATTCTGTGATTAGGACAGATTCTAGAGATAGGCTGCCAGAATTGGATTCTGAATTCAACACATAATAGCTTTTGCAACCTTGAGCATATTATTTAACCTCAGTTTGCTCATCTTTAAAATGGATATAATAATACTACCTACTTCATAAAATTGTTATGAAGATTAAACGTCACATGATAAGCATAAGACAGGCATATGTTAATTTTTTTAAAACTTCATTCTTTTTTACAGCAGTATAGTATTACGTATTATGGATGTACCACAATTTGTTTTATTCATTGACATTTACATTGTTGTCAGTTATCATCTATTTCATGCAAAACTTCAATAAACATCTTTGTTAATTTATCTTTTACATGTGTAAACGCATCTGTTACAGCTGCAGTCAAAATTTCTAAAAATGAAATTGCCGAGTCAAAAGACATGTATGCATTTTTTTAAACTTTTATTTTAAGTTCAGGGGTACATGTGCAGATTTGTTAAATAGGTAAACTTGTGTCATGGGGGTTTGTTATGCAGATTATTTCATCACCAGCTATTAAGCCTAGTACCTATTTAAAACAAAAAATTAGGAATGGCTCAATTTCCCTTCACTACGATTATACTAATTTTACTTAGACATTGCGGAGTATGTCTCCCTATTCTTTAGCTAAGAATGGTTTTATCAAGCTTTTTATTCTAGGTAAAAGAAGTGATCCTGCTTTAACTTTCATTCCCCTAATTATGTGTATGATTGAACATCTACTCATAAATCCTAAGGTCATTTAGAATTCTTCTTAATTTTTTTCTGAGAACCACAGAGTCATGTCCTTTGATCATTTCTCAAAATTGACTTGTTCTATTTCTATCTATAAGAGTATATTTTAAGTAGTGTAATCAGTGTTGAATCTAAAGTGGTGAAAAAAATTCTTAATTAGTAATTTCCTTTTAACTTCCTTTATGATACTTATTTCTATGCAAAATCTATTTCTCATCTTGCATGTTAATATATTATTAGGTTAAAAAATAAAGAAACGTATTATTGTTCTTTAGCTTTAATCTTTGCCGTTTCTGGTACTTGGCAGACTAAATAACAACTACACCACTAACTACCCCTCCACATGCACAGATCGCCTCACGAAACTCTTCATATATATATATATGTATATATATATATATATGTATATATATTATATATAAAAGATTATTATATATATCATATATGTATCAATTTAAAATTCATTTTGGTAAAATAATTTATGTCGAGATTTAAAATATATTTCCTCCAAAACTTTTATTACTGTCTGTAATTGCCATCCTAATGAAATAAAAATAGGTTGTATTAATTTAAATACCTTTCTGTATTCACTATTTTTTCACTACTCTGTTCTTGTTCCTAAGATGCCTTTAAGCTTAGAAAGCCTTCCCCTTCTGATACGATTTTTTTAAACTACCACATTTACTGTTTTATTTTATTTTAACATCTAGCTCTTCAGCTCAGTGGAAATTTATTTTGAAAGACGTGAGATCTCCTAGGCTTTCCTCTTATTACTGTTCTGGCCCCATTGTTATTCCTCTAGAGATAAAACATACCAAGTTCATAAAAAAATTTTCATCCTCACACATTTCCTAACAGCATATATTTATCAGGAACTCTTAATAGTTTCTTGTGCATGATCAATTCTGAGTCTTTATTCCCAAATTTAACACATTTGTTTCTGCCTATATTAATATATTAACATACTTAATGGTTATCTGATTGAGAAGGGTCTTTGGGTAACCAGGATGGAGGAGGAGGTGTTGAAGATATCTGTTTATAGGGCTCTTCTGCTTAGAATTCTAATTGAGGCCATTTTAAGAAAGTTGCTCCCTGTTAATTCACCAAAAATTTAAACATGAAACAATCTATTAATGTGTAAATATTAATGTTAAACTATAAAACAATATGTTATTTTATATCTACTTTTATATAGATTTATAAATATTTGTATTTACTCATATTTTATCTATATGACTTTATTATATTCATACAAATATTATATTACTATATGGATCAAGTCTATAAATGGCACATTTGTTCCTTAATATATTATTGCTGTGCTCCAGAAATACTGCTAAGGAAATATTGCTCTTTAATCAAAGGTCTCAGATTCTAAGGACACTGTTGCTGCATTCTCCTTTATGTTTCTTTGAATAAGAGCTCCCATTCCTGTGAAAGGTGCTGGAGTGATGGAGAATGGAGGAGGCACATTCTTTACTCTTTTTGTTGTTGTTGTTGTTCTTTTTTTTTTTTTTTTTGAGGTGGAGTTTCTCTCTTATTGCCCAGGCTGGAGTGCAATGGTGCAATCTCAGCTCACTGCAACCTCCCCCTAACATTCCCCTACCTCAAGCGATTCTCCTGCCTCAGCCTCCCGAGTAGCTGGGATTACAGGCATGCACCACCACACCCGGCTAATTTTGTACTTTTAGTAGAAACAGGGTTTCGACATGTTGGCCAGGCTGGTCTTGAACTGACCTCAAGTGATCCACCTGTGTCAGCCTTTCAAAGTGCTGGGATTACAGGCATGAACCACCACACCTGGCCTCACATTATTACTCTTTGTCTCTGTTTTTTCAAGGCGTCATACAATGCTATTGTCTTCAGTTATATGATTATTCCACAAATGGATTCACAGTGCACGCGATTGTATTTGAACTCTTTTGGTTGCAATCCAGTTGGATTGACCTTGCATACAAGTGGACCCAACCATACCTGGCATCAAGAAGTCAAACATTCACTCACTCATTCAAGAAGTATTTGTTAAACATCTACTGTGTTAGAAACTGTGCTTGGTGTTATGGATAAGATGGTGACTTAAACATGCCCCCTGCCTTCTGGCAGTTCCCAATCTAGGGAAGAAAACAGCAAGTAAGCAAGAAATTGTAATGCAAGGAATTAGGATACAAATCAGGAATAAACACAGTATGAAAAGGTGGGGTATTGGAGAGCTTCAGGCCAGGCATCCTGTGAGGAGTGAAATCAGTGCTGAGATTAGAAGAATGAGTGGGGACTAGAAGACGTTAGTAAGGCAACTAACTAATTATGTGTATGTGGAGGGGTAGTTGATGGTGTGGTTATTATACTAGTCTGCCAAGTACCGGAAATGGTGAAGATTAAGGCTAAAGAACAATCAGTATGTTTCTTTATTTTTTAACCGAGTCATTTAATTATCAAGGATTCTTACAACCATTTGCAATTCATTTCAGGATGTATTGTGTCTAGCATTAATTATTCTTCATTCATTATAAGTTTGTTTTACCAAATCACTCTCAGAAGAAGAAAGAGGACCTAAGAGAAGTAATGGATGTTGAAAATGCCTTTAATCTTTATAACAGCTCGGTCTAAATAAATCTCAGAAAGCCGAAGACCTAACAGCTGCTAAATGACTCAGTTAAGATTTGAATACCGGTCTGTCTGATCAACTTCAAAATCCCATACTTTTTCTCCCATACCATGCTTATCTCCTTCTGCGATTTTAGATGGTGACCCAATGCCTCTTCCCAGATTCTACAAATATTCTTCTTTCAGTCTTCTTTAATTCATTTCTTGGATAACTGAAGAAAAAAAAAACTAAGTAACAGTGTTCTTTTATATTACAGCCTAGTTTCCTAGTTTTTACAGAGTGAAATGCTGTCAGGGAAATGGGAAATGTTTTCTGCAAATATATGATAATTCTATAAACATTTTTAAGACTTCATATGATGTATCCTCTCTGGAATTTATTTTTTTCCTGAAAAAAATAGTCACTAAAAGTGATTCAAACATTAGCTAGACCTTCTGCAAGCCCATGTTTCTGCCTTCATCAATTAGAGTGGCTTTAGCTGCTTCGGCAAAAGCCTGACTACAGTAACTTATTTCAGTAGAAGAGGCTTCATTTTTCTCTGGTAATAAGACATCTGGAGGTAGTCCAAGGCTAGTGCAGGTGCTCAGGAAGCCACTGAGAATCCAGGAACTTTCTAGTTTCTGTGATTGAAATTGGCTCCTGCACTGTTGGGCATGAGGCTAAACTCCAGGCAGAAGTAGAGGTGGAATCAAAAGGCCAGTGCTCCTTGAATGTATTCCCTTGTATCAGGGGAACAAAATCATTTCCAGAAGCACCACTTAATGGACTTCCATGTATGTTAAATAGCTATCACAAGGTGCAAGACAGCCTCGGAAATCAGGCTTTTCAGCTGGGCAAAGTACTGTCCATATATAGTTAGGCTTTCTTGATTAGGAAGAAATGGAGACTAGATAAGACACAGTGTGCAAAATCGGCAATGAGAAAATCAGCTACACACTCTAAGCAGTATGATGCTTCTAAAGCTCACCTCAAGTTATACGAATGTTACTACCCTTATCCAAACAGGCATTATAAAATCTATTAGAAGCTAAGAAGAAAAGACATTTATCTGTAAAATGAATAGCAGTATCAAATAAGATTGTAAATCACTATAATAGTGTTAGAGTTTTTGGCTAATTTGTTTTTAAAGAGAGCATCAAAGAGATTATAATTAGAGGAAAAAGGATAGGTCTACATTTTGTTCCTTCCAGCTATGGGATCTTAGAACATTCACATAGTCTGTCCTCTCAGGCAAATGTAGTTCCATTGCCTATGAAATGATACCAGATTAATAAAAGGGGCCAGAGATTTAAACCAACATTTTTTGAAGAAAAAGAAACATCACAAGTCAATAAACCAGTGAAGTGATGGTCATCCTCCTTTGTAATCAGGGTGATAAAAATTAAAAACACAGTGAAACATCACTTTGCATTCATAAGATGGGCTAAACTTAAAGACTGACAATATCAAGTGGTGAAAAGGAGGTAGAGCCAAAGTTGGTGAATTCCACAGGCCAAATCTAGCCTTCCACCCGCTTTTGTATAGCCCATAAGCCAGGAATGGTTTTACATTTTTAAATGAAGAGTTTAAAAAGACTATTAGCCTTTCAGGGAGAATAGTTGTTCAATTTTGCCTCTTGATGCTGAAGCCTAAAATATTTACTATGTGACACTTTACAGAAAATGTTTGCTGACGCTGATACAAAAAGCATGGGAATTCTACACTGCTGGTAGGAGTGAAAGTGGCATAAACACTTCTGAAAGCAACTTTATGTATCTAGTGATATGAATAGGTGCAAACCCTAGGACCTAGAATTACTCTAGAAAACTCTTGCTGATTCTATCAGCAGTATTCATAAATGGAACAAATCCAAACATCTACTAACAATAGAATAGAGGAATAAAGCATATTACAACACACAGTGAATACTGCTATAGACAGCAATATAAATGAGACTCATAAAGAAGGCACTAAGAAAAATACAAGTTCCAGAGTAGCTCTGTCCAATAGAAATATGATGCAAGCTGCAAATGTGAGATGCATATTTAATGTTAAAATTTCTAGCAGCCATATTAAGAACATAAGAAAAAACAGGTGAGATTAGTTTAACAATAAATTTGTATTTTATTTAAGGTAATATGTTCACCATTATCATGTCAACATGTAGTCAATATGAAAATATTAACGATATATATCACATTATTTTTTGTTCTAAATCTTGGAAATCTGAAGTGAATTTTATATGTGCAGGACATCTCAACTGGGACTAGCCACGTTTCAAGTGCTCAGTCACATGTGGCTGGTGGCCATCATGTTAAACAGCACAGTTTGAGAAGATGCAAATGGTATAATTTTACTTACATCCCGTCTTTCAAAATAAACAAAACTATATGTTATTTAGGGACACATGATATGTGTTAAAACTACAAAGAAAAGTAAGGCATTCATAAACCCAAGATCCAGATGACCATGACTTCTGGGAGAGGAGGGAAGAGGGGCACCAAGATAGAGAACTGGTTCCTGGGTACTCAGAGGAGCTGATAATATTCTGTTTCATAAGTTTGATGGTAGGAGCATGGATGCTTTTTAAAATTAAATAGACATTATCCCGGGTGTTATGGCTCATGCCTGTAATCCCAGCACTTTAGGGAGCTAAGGCAGGCGGATCACCTGAGGTCAGGAATTCTAGATCAGCCTGGCCAACATGGTGAAACCTCATGTCTACTAAAAATACAGGTAGCTGGGGGCGGTGGCGGGAACCTGTAATCTCAGCTACTCGGGAGGCTGAGGCAGCAGAATCGCTTGAACCCGGGAGATGGAGTTTGTAGTGAGCAGATATCACGCCACTGCCCTCCAGCCTGAGTGACAGAACAAGGCTCTCTCTCTCAAAAAAAAAAAATTAAACAGACATTATAATTATTATTTTGAAGCTATTTCATCTTTCATAAAAATTTAAAACTAAATCTTTGCACCAGGTGCTTATCTCAGAGAGAAGTTATAATGCAACTGCTTGTGCAAATACTTTTTGAACAGTAAAACAGAATGTAAGCAGAGACATGTTAGTATCTATTATTGTTCCTTTTAATTTTATAATTGGAAGGTCCATATGTGCAGGAGTTGCCACAAGGTAGGGACTTTAAATAGACAGAACTGAGCAATACAAGAGACTGTAAACTGTTAGTTGACTACCCACAAAACAGAAGAGGAGAAATGGAAAAAAAAAAATCAATAAGGAAGAAAGAAATCTGTGTAAGTGGCAGCAGAGACATGTGGAAGTCTTGAAGGGTGACCAGCTGTTGCATCTCTGAGATTTGTCAAAAAAGACTTGTGGGGGAGAGTCAACTGACAGGAAGCTGTCGCGGAGGACTGGGAGAGGGATCTGAAAGTGACATCCTCCGGGGTGGGCTGGAGAGCAGGAAACTATACTGGGAAAGAGCCCCGGGCAGATGCGGTGCTTGAGGCAGGTCCTAGTCGGCTGCACAGACTGTCTGCAGACAAAGAGTTGGAGTTGGCAGCAGGAGTGAGTGCTTGGCAGAGTCAAGGCGGCTTCTTTTTCTGGCTCTGCCACTCTCCCATCTTACCATCTTCAGTAATTGGCTTGAGGCAGAAGAGATGATCTCTCTGCAGTTTTCTTCTTTCTCATCTAAGATGGGGTGAAGAGAAAGCAGACGCGTGCATGGCCCTGTGACAAGAGCATAGAGCTGTGTAGCTACCAGGCTGGTCCTTGATGTGACCTATCGCTCTCCATCTGTGTTTGAGAAGGTAGAGAAGCCGCGGTCGGGGCCTTGAACCTGCCAGGTTTTCCAAAAGCCCCTTCTGGTGAAGCACTATGCAAAAGGGGATAGAAATGGGTGCCCCTTTGGAAGATCGCATGTTCATGCAGCTACTAACCCTGCACATCCAGGGCTAAATTTTTTTCAGACTGGGGTTTGAGAGAACTCCGGCGACCAGGATAAAAGAGAAGAAATAAAAATACTTCTTTGTTATTCACTATGAAAGTTGCATGGTGAAGAGTTTTGAAAATTGTGCCTAGGTGCCTGTGGATGGGGGTTGGGTTTTCTTGGGAACATTCTCTCTGAGAATTTACAAAGTAACTGACTTCCTAATGGATGACAGGTCTTCACTCCGCAGTTCAGCACCCAGCCCTCTGCCAGCTCATGCCTGCCACATCTTCCACTTCTTAGTGCCCTTCAGGGAAACTAGGAAAGTGATCAGATCAAGGCAGCAAAAGACAGTTGATCAAGTCTCCACATAAGCAGAGCAAGTGTGCACTGTCTCCTGTCATGTTTGATAAGCCCCACTGTGTGCCACCAGAGGAGGCACTTTAGACACGTGATTTCGCCAAAACTCCACAACCTGCATGAGAGAAAGAAATTCTTTTTCCCATTTTATATGTAAGGAGACTGAAATTCAGAGGAGGAATGCCTCACCTGCAATTAGATGCTGAGCTGGGAGCTGAACTCTTTTTAATCTATTAGATTTCAAAGTTCATATTTGTCCTACTGTGTTGTGCTATGTACTAAATTTATTGAACATGAATTTAGTGCAGGTGTTTTACATACACCTGATTTGATCCTTACAACTACTCTGAAGGAAATGTGCTTGTAATATTGTCCTTATTTTATTAGAAAGGCAATGAATGTGAAGGAGAGGTTATTTTACAAAGCCGGTTCCTTATAGAGGCAAAGAATTGTTTTTTAATTTTTAATTCAACTTTTATTTTGGATAGGGGAGCACATGTGCAGGTTTGTCGCATGGGTAAATTGCACCAAACTAAAGTTTGGTATACAAATGATTCTGCCACCAAGGTAGTGAGAATAATACCCAATAGGTAGTTTTTCAACTCACACTTTCCTCCCTCCCTCCCCTGTCTAGTAGTCTGCAGTCTGTTGTTCCCATCTTTATGTCCATGTGCACTCAATGTTCAGCTCCCACTTATGAGTGAGACATACGGTATTAGGTTTTCTGTTCTAGTGTTAATTTGCTAAGGATTATGGCCTCCAGCTGTATTCATGTTGCTGTGAAGGACATAATTTCATTCTTTTTTATGACTGCATAGTATTCTGTGATGTATATGTACCATTTTTTTTACCCAATCCACTACTGACAGGCACTTAGTTTGAGTCCATATTGTGATGATTAATACAGAGTGTCAACTTGATTGGATTGAAGGATACAAAGTATTGATCCTGGGTGTGTCTGTGAGGGTGTTGCCAAAGGAGATTAACATTTGCATCAATGGGCTGGGGAAGGCAGACCCACCCTTAACCTGATGGGCACCATCTAATCAGCTGCCAGTGAATATAAAGCAGGCAGAAAAACGTGAAAAAGCGAGACCGGCCTAGCCTCCCAGCCTACATCTTTCTCCCGTGCTGGATGCCTGCCCTTCAACATCATACTCCAAGTTCTTCAGTTTTTCAGTTGTAAGTTTATCCTGTATCATTTTCCCCCAGCACACAACATACCAGTCACTCTTACCTCCTTTCTCTTTCTCACCAAGATTCTTTCTGTCTCCTAATCACAATTACTCTTTCTTTCACCAGAAAGTCTCTAGCCATAACTCTTTTTATGGGTGCCTCATTCTCTCCTTCAGTTTTCACTCAGAAGCCATGTTAGAAAGCCCATATTGTCCATTTTATCTAATGTGTTATTACTTTGAAAAACACCACCTCATTTACTTTCTTCACAAATTTCATCATGATTAATCATTGATTTGTTTCTTTATTTCTATATTTCCTTTCTCCTCTACTAACTCTATGAAAGCAACAACTTTATATCTATTGTGTTGCTGATGTCTAGTGCCTATCAAAGTGTGGGTACAGAATAGGCACTCAAAGAATACTTTCTCAGGAAAACAGTTTTTTATGCAGTAGGTTTTTATTTAATTATATTATATGTGGGGGGATATTCTGCAGTCTTCAAATGCTCTAAAATGAATAGTAATTCTTCTCATCTAAAACAATAACATTTTAAACTATATTGAATCAGTGAATACATCATAAGATCCTGTTCTCAAAATAAACAAGTTTCTTGAATGTTACATGTGGAGAAGTTTGCACACTTGGAAGAAAAAGAAACCACTATACCCGTGGCTTGCGCTATACCAAATTAGAATGAAAAGGAAAAGCATATCTGTCTTGAAATTACATTTCAGCTTTCTTCGAATGGGATAGGGTCAGGGAGGCAAATGGTTTGGAGAAATAAAGATTCAATTGTTTAATGTATCTTTCATACATATATTTTGTCAAAAAGAGATTCCTAGAAACCGGGAAAAGTACTAGAAGCCAAAGTGGCTTGTCTCAATTTATAGAATTAATCAAATAATGTTAGTCTTTATCCATTCTCAAAGGACAGCTTCAAGAATCAATCTAAACTTTAAATATGCTGAAGTGGGTTTGTAGTTGTAGCCCAAACAGAAAGACTGGGCGATATAGTTAGGATATTTGTGCCCACCCAAATCTCATGTTGAAATGTAATCCCCAGTGTTGGAGGTGGGGCCTGGTGGGAGGGGTTTGGATCATGGAGGCAGACCCCTCATGAATGGCTTGCTCCATGCCCTTTGTGATAAGTGAGCTCTTGCTCTAACTTCACACAAGATCTGGTCATTTAAAAGTATGTGGCACCTCTCCCCTGAATCTCTCTCTCTTGCTCCCACTCCCACTCTATGAGACACCTGATCCCTTTTCACCTTCCTCAGTGAGTAAAAGTTCACTGAGGCCTCCCCAGAAAACAATCAGTTGCCAGTGGCATGCGTGTACAGCATGCAAAACTATGAGCCAATTAAACATCTTTTCTTTATAAATTACCCAGTCTTATATATTTCTTTATAGTAATGCAAGAATGGCTTAATGCAGAAAATTGATACCAAGGAGTGGGGCATTTCTATAAAGATACCTTAAAATGTGGAAATGATTTTGCAATTGGGTAATGGGCAGAGGTTGGAAGTATTTGGAGGGTTCAGAAGACAAGAAGATGAGGGAAAGTTTGCAATTTCTTAGAGACTGGTTAAATGGTTGCGACCAAAATGCTGCTAGTGATATGCACAGTGAAATACAGGCTGACAAGGTCTCAGATGGAAATGAAAAAGTTATTGTGACCTGGAGCAAAGGTCATATATGCTATGCCTTAGCAAAGAACTGGGCTGCATTCTGTTCATGCCCTAGGGAACTGTGGAAGTTTGAGCTTGAGAGTGATGACCTAGGGTATCTAGGGGAAGAAATTTCTAGGCAGCAAAACATTCTAGATATCACCTGGCTGCTTCTAACAGCCTGTGCTTAGATGTAGGAGCAAAGAAATGACTTAAAGTTAGAATTTATATTTAAACATGAAGCAGAGTGTAAAAGTTTCAAAAATTTGCAGACTAGTCAGTGGCAGAGGAAAAAAATGCTTTTTTGAGAGAGGAATTCAAGCAAGCTGCAGAGCAACCACTTGCTGAAGATATTTGCATAATTAAAAAGGAGAACGACTAATATTCAAAACAATGGGGAAAGACCTCAAAGGCATTTCAGAGACCTTCAAGGCAGTCCCTTCTGTCACAGGCTTAGAGGTGTAGGAGGGAAAAATGGTTTTGTAAGCCCGGCCCAGGGCCCCTCTTCCTTGCACAAGACACTGCTTCCCACACCCCAGCCACTCTAGATCAAGCCGTGGCTCAAAGGGGCCTATGTACAGCTTGGGCTGCCACTTTGGAGAATATAAGCTCTAAGCCTTGGTGGCTTCCACATGGTGTTAAGCCAGTAGGTACACAGAATGAAAGAGTAAGGAACACTTGGCAGCCTCCATCTAGGTTTTAGAGGATGTATGAGAAAGCCTGGGTGGCCAGGCAGAAGGCTTCTGCAGGGCTGGGGCCCTCATAGAGAATTTCTACTAGGGCAGTGCCAAGGGGAAATGTGGGAATGGAGCCCTCACATGCAGTGCCCCATGGGCCACTGGTTATAGGAGCTGTGAGAATGTGGTCTCTGTCCTCCAGACCCCAGAATGGTAGATCCATTGGCAGCTTGTATCCTGTTCCTGGAAAAACCACAGGCATTCAACTCCAACCCATGACAGCAGGCCTGGAGACTGAACCCTGCAAAGCCAAAGGGGTGGAGCTACACAAGGCCTTAAGAATCCACCTCTTATAGCAGTGTGCCAGGATGTGGACATTGAGTCAAAGGAGACTGTTTTTAAGCTTTGAGATTTAATGACTTTACTGCTGGGTTTCAAATTTACATAGGGCCTGTATTCCCTTTCTATTGGCTAATTTCTCCCTTTTGTTTATTCAATGCCTAGACCTCCATTGCATCTTGGGAGTAAATAACTTGTTTTGATTTTATAAGTTCATCAGTGGAAGAAACTCAGTTTGGATTTGGGACTTGGGACCTTTGAGTTAATGCTGGAATGAGTTAAGATTTTGGGGGAACTTAGAGAAGGGATGATTATATTTTGAAATGTGATAAGGAAAACATTTGGAAGGGGCCAGGGCAGAATGATATTTGTCCCTACCCAATTCTCATGTTGAAATATAATCCCCAATGTTGGAGGTGGGGCTTTGTAGGAAGTGTTTGGATCATGGGGTGGATCCTTCAAGAATGACCTAGGCCATTTGCTTTGTGATAAGTGTGCTTTTGCTCTGAGTTTATGTGAGACCTGGTCGTTTAAAAGTGTGTGGTGCCTCCCCATGCACTCTCTCTTTCTTGATCCTGCTTCCACTATGTGAGACACCTTCTCCCTCTTCACTTTCTGCCATGAGTAAAAGCTCCCCGAAACCTCCCAAGAAGCCAAGCAGATGCCAGTGCCATACTTGTACAGTCTGCAAAGTTGTAAGCCAATTAAACCTCTTATCTTTATAAATTACCTATTCTCAGGTATTTCTTTATAGCAGTGCAAAAATGGCCTAGCACACTGAGTCAACATTTATTGAGTGCCTACACTTTGGAATTTTTGCTAGGTGTATGGAATATGTTTCCATATTTGACATATACGTTTCCTAACTTACCTGCAATAACAGAGTCAGAGCTAGTAACCAGGACTGGAAAACTGAACTCTCCTAGATTTCATAGTCAATGTTGTTTCCATTGCAGTTTTCTTTTCTGTGGAAGGAACCTCAGTCAATTGACTATGGTTCTTGAAGTTTTTACAAGCCACTTCAGAGTTTTCTTCTTCTCACTTTGAAATCTTTATCTGAGTTTTCTACTAAAGACCTCAACACATGGACATGTAAACACAGTTGAGGTATTACACGTTTGGTCAGTGTTCAATTCCCCAATTTCATCTCTTTTTAAAAAATACTGTAATTAATTGTATTCATGTGCCATGGCACAGCCGGCAAGCATTTTAACCATCACCAAGTATTTAGAGATGCCTGTGAATTAAATTCATCCTCAGATGAGATTCCATGTACTCATAATCCAGACTTCCCTATGAACTTTGTTGTTGGCCTTTCTGGTTGAAAAATAGAAAATAGAGGGACCTTTGTAAAGGCAGCATAAATTACATAAAGTTCAAATCAGCAGGAGAACAACAAAGAAACACAAACAAATGCCATCCTAGAGAATCTTGGTGGGGGATAAGGTGTTTATTAAGGATGACAGAAACCTCCTGATAGAGACAATATCATTCACCTTATAGATCCATCTCTGTAGCTGAAATGTGTTGAGTGAAATTTGATCTAAGCATAATGGGACTTGGTGTGAACCCAGATTTAAGTGGGAATGTGGGTTTGGGAGGCAGGTTTTGTCTGAGACTTCAGAGGCAGCACTGGGGCAGACAGTCAGATTACCACCTGGGAGTTCATTTGAGAATGTACCAGAGAGTAAGAAACCTGCTGAACTCCAAGAAAGACAGTCAGAAAACTGAAGAAGTAAGCAGGAATTGAAGAAAAGAGCCAGGGATCTGACACACAAAGTGCCTGGTGAATTTTCCTTAAGAGTTTGCCACTGTTTTAGCCAGATTCCATTGACCTGGTTACCTGGTAGAACAAGGTAGAACCTCATTGCTAGAGGCAACCCATTGCCTTTGAAAGGTAACTAGTGGGAACTCCTCTGAACATCAGACCTGGCCTCCCTTTCCTTTTAGGTTAAACACAAAGGCTATATGTAATCTGGCTACTTTCTTCTTCTCCAGCCTCATCCTCAACCATACTTTTTCCTTCACTCTCTGTACTGCAACCATAATGTCTCCAACATCTTCTTTTCTGCTTTCAGATTTGCCTTAACAGTCTGTCCTCCTCCTTCATCTATTTAATTCCTCACTTATTCTTTTGATTTCAACTCAAGTGTCATTACATCAATACACCAGAATGGGTTGATCCAGGAAGCCTCTGTTTCTGTTTAAATCATATAAAAATATGCTGGATACAATATAACAATTACTTTAAAAAATACATGCATAAGCTTGTACATCTCTCTCCAGCTGTAAGAAACAAGGAAGAAACTCAAAGCCAGAGTAGTATGTAAAAATGAAAGCTCAGCAATTCCCAGGTGAATCAGAAATCTACCTCCATCTAAAGGGAAAGAGCTGGGGTTTCTTTTCACTTTCTTCTCTCCCTTTCCTATTTGTTTCCTGTCAGGACAGTTCACTGCTGTAACTATTTATTTTAGCTGGTGTACCAGAAGACGAATATGTTTGGTAAACAAAAGAGAGCCATGGTGTCCCAGAGAGGGGAGTTTGAGCTACAGCAGGGTGAGATTATGTTTGATCATGGCTGTCAAAGCCTGAGAGGGTAAAGAGAGTATCATGCAGGGGCATCCCCTTGAAGGCAGACTGATGTGGAATATTAAGGTCCAAGTAGGCTTGACAATATATATGCATGGGGAGAACCTAGCACAGGGAGCTAGAATCCAAGTGTGGCAAAACGGATGTTCATGCGTGCAAGGATATGGCTTGGTATGTGATGTCAGAGTCCAGGCAGTATGAGGTGGGTATTTCTTTAGAAAGTCAGCCTTGCATGGAGGATGAAAGCCTAAGTGGGGTGAGACCCTACAGAGATTGATGATCTAGTGCAGAGTATCAAAGCCTAAATGGGAGTGGGTAGAGCATCCATGTGGGAGAAGACTGGTATAGAGTATCAGAGACCAAGCATAGTAGGAGAGCATTTTACAGGCAATGGGGGAGGGGTGTGGAGGACAGAGAGCCAAAGGAAGGATTGGAGTCTACATAGTGAGAAGGGATTCCACACACTGGGGCAGTCTAACACAGGTGTCAGAGCCTTCCTTAAGGAGAGGATCCCAGTGAGAGGGAATTTACAGAGACCCAGCACAGAGTGTGGAAGCATATATAGGGTAAGGAGCCCAGTGAGAGGGAGTTTACAGAGACCCAGCACAGGGTGTGGAAGCATATGTAGAATAAGGAGAGCCTCTGCTTCAGGAAGGTGCTATAATGGCAATGGGAGATTGGAAGCATACAGGTGAATTGATTAGATAAGAAAATATGTTAAGGATAATGGAAGCCAGATAACTCACTGTTGGAGAAAAGAGTTCCAAACAGGAAACAAATAGAACGAGTCATTTGTTGTTGGATTTGAATTTAATTTATTACGGTGAATTTGTAATTTTCAATATATACAGACAGAGAGTAATAGAAATATAAAATCCAGTCAAAATTCTCATTTTAAGACACTTGGGCCAATTAAAGCAAAGAAGGAAGACAAAAAAATCAATAAATAATAGGTTGTGGTATTAGTGTCCTAGATAGAATATTGAAAGTCAAAGCTGGTACTGAGCCCACTGGCTAAATGCTGGGAGCCAAGAAGGTCTGTTAAGTCCATTAAAATAGGAATTAGATACATCTCAACTCTCCTAGGATTGTAGCTCCAAATGGGGCAGGCTACCCTAAGCCATGTAAAGAAAGAATTACCTGTGAGATAACTAATCGTGAGCCTGTGGTGTGCCTTGACCTGTGATCTAAATTTAGAAAACATATGCAATGGAAGCAACTCCAATAGAAAAATGCTCATAAAACCCTAGTCACTCTAAGACCTTACTCAGGAGGCTCTGGCAATTTCCTAACAACACAATTGCCAGTGTATCTATCCATCTACATTCCCTGTGTTATCAAATCCTTCCTACCTCAACAAGTCTTTCTATAGCCTTATTTATTCAGAGACTTTTAGAACCAAGTTCTTAATTAGTTATTCTGTGGTTCCAGTCATCATGAGTCAGAATGTCTGGGAATTCAAATCCAATTAGAATTTCTAAAGAAAAATGTAAGTTTGGAATTAGGTATGTGGATTCAAAGATGTCAGTGGAAATGCCAGCGGACTTTTGCTGATAAATGGGAAGCTAAGAAGACAGTGGCCAAAGCTAGAGCTATTGGTTGTGGTAACATGGCGTTGATGATGATGATGATGTTGATGACACTGATGATGATGATGATGATGATGATGATGATGATGATGATGATGATAAATCTTCATTTTGTGCTTCCCATGTGATAGACACTATGCTAAGTGCTTCATATGTACTATCTCATGTAATCCTGACCTTAATGTTATAAAGGAAGTACACTCATTATATAGATGATCAAATGGAATGACTGAGAAATTAGTAACTTTCTTGAGTCTTCATAGTCAACAAGTGTTAGAACCAGTATTTGAGAAATCTGACTTTAGATTCTTACCTGTACTTTTAGATCTATACTCAACCATTTTGCAACCAAGTACACTCATTGTATAGATGAACAAATGGAATGACTGAGAAATTAGTAACTTTCTTGAGTCTTCACACTCAACAAGTGGTAGAACCAGTATTTAAGAAATCTGACTCTAGATTATTACCTGTACTTTAAATCCATACTCAACCATTTTGCACTATAATAATTTTAAGAAACAAACAGAGAAGAAATCAGCTAGGCATAAAAGACAAGATGTGGAGTGGAAGGAAAGAAATAGAAAATAGCAAAAAAGACAAGAGGAAAACATGGTGATAGAAGGGAACCTAGATAAAAATATAATCTGGAAAGTTGAAGAAGCAATGTAAAGAAGAAAAGAGTTGATCAAAAGTTAAAAGCAATGCCCTGATTGAGCTCTTAGAGAAATTCTATAGATTGGATAATTGGAATGTCAGAGATGATTATTTCAGCATAAATGTGTATTTCAAATCATGTATTCTCCCTTCTATTCCCTCTGTCTTTACTCTCTTCCCCTAAAAGTATTATTCAGGTCAATATTTCAAATGGACTTGGAGCTGGTGCTAAAATCTACATATTTTGCTATTGAGCTTGACCTAAATGGAAGTATTATTAGTATGAGAGTGAGGATGTGAGATTAAGTTGTGATATTCAAGTCCTACTTGCAGAAAAATCTTCAGAATGGAGCTCCTGATAGAGCATTTTCTCCAGCCCAGAATGGCAAAGGATGGCACCGGAACAAGGCACATTCTCCACATTTAAGGATAATTTTTTATTTTCTCTCTCTCTTTCCTCTCTCTCTCACAGACACACATACACAAGAGCAAAACATTCTTCCAGATTTTGAAATATACTCAAGAAACATTGTGATTCTTTCCCTAGAGTTTGCCTCTAATTCTAATTGAAGTAATAATAATGCCTCAAATTTTATAGAATTTATCACTTCTGTACTTTCTGACATAGCATGATTTCACATAAGGTAGCAGTCATTAATCGGGTTAGAAATCAGATTTTTGGCCGGACACGGTGGCACATGCCTGTAATTCCAGCACCTTGGGAGGTAGAGGCAGGCCGATCATTTGAGGTCAGGAGTTTAAGACCAGCCTGACCAACATGGTGAAATTCCGCCTCTACTAAAAATACAAAACAATTAGCTGGTGTGGTGGTGCATGCCTGTAGTCCCAGCTACTGAAGAGGCTAAGGGCTTGAACCCAGGAGGCAGAGGTTGCAGTGAGCCAAGATCATGCCACTGCACTCCAGCCTGGGTGACAGAGTGAAACTCTATCTCAAAAAAAAAAAAAAAAAAATCAGATTTTTCAAGTTTTATTGTATTTTTAATTAATATAATAATTGTCCAGATGTATGGGATATAGTCTGATGTTTCAATCCATGTATACATTGTGTAATAATCAATTAGGTCATTTAGCATATCTATCACCTCAAACATTGAGCATTTCTTTGCAATGAGAATATCCAAAATCTTCTCTTTTAGTTATTTTGTTCTTTTTTTTTTTTTTTTTACTAAAACGAAAGATATTTAAACACCTTTATTATCATGCATGGCAAGCTTCTTTAAAGGTTACTGGCTAAACAAATATATATGTGATTCTTATTTACATTTATTGACACATCATATTACTTTGGAGAAGATAAAGGGTTTATCTTTAGTACAAAACCATTATCGCCATAATATTTCACAAGTGACTTGCCGATTTCCTCCATTACCATAAAATCCAAATTATCACTGATGATTATCCCAGTCAGAGGTAAAGACAAAATAAAAGACACCATATTAAAGGAAAATTTAAAACCATTCATCATTGTCCCAGTTTGATTTTTTAATATAACCAAAGTTAAATAAAGTATTTAGAATTGTAGTCTTCTTTTAATCTTCTTTTTTTTGTTTTTTATTTTATTTTATTATTATTATACTTTAAGTTTTAGGGTTCATGTGCACAATGTGCAAGTTAGTTACATATGTATACATGTGCCATGCTGGTGTGCTGCACCCATTAACTCGTCATTTAGAATTAGGTATATCTCCTAAAGCTATCCCTCCCCTGTCCCCCCACCCCACAACAGTCCCCAGAGTGTGATGTTCCTCTTACTGTGTCCATGCGTTCTCATTGTTCAATTCCCACCTATGAGTGAGAATATGCGGTGTTTGGTTTTTTGTTCTTGCGATAGTTTACTGAGAATGATGATTTCCAATTTCATCCATGTCCCTACAAAGGACATAAACTGATCATTTGTTATGGCTGCATAGTATTCCATGGTGTATATGTGCCACATTTTCTTAATCTAGTCTACCATTGTTGGACATTTGGGTTGGTTCCAAGTCTTTGCTATTGTGAATAGTGCCACAATAAACATACGTGTGCATGTGTCTTTATAGCAGCATGATTTATAGTCCTTTGGGTATATACCCAGTAATGGGATGGCTGGGTCAAATGGTATTTCTAGTTCTAGATCCCTGAGGAATCGCCACGCTGACTTCCACAACGGTTGAACTAGTTTACAGTCCCACCAACAGTGTAAAAGTGTTCCTATTTCTCCACATCCTCTCCAGCACCTGTTGTTTCCTGACTTTTTAATGATTGCCATTCTAACTGTGTGAGATGGTATCTCATTGTGGTTTTGATTTGCATTTCTCTGATGGCCAGTGATGGTGAGCATTTTTTCATGTGTTTTTTGGCTGCATAAATGTCTTCTTTTGAGAAGTGTCTGTTCATGTTCTTTGCCCACTTTTTGATGGGGTTGTTTGTTTTTTTCTTGTAAATTTGTTTGAGTTCATTGTAGATTCTGGATATTAGCCCTTTGTCAGATGAGTAGGTTGTGAAAATTTTCTCCCATTTTGTAGGTTGTCTGTTCACTCTGATGGTAGTTTCTTTTGCTGTGCAGAAGCTCTTTAGTTTAATTAGATCCCATTTGTCAATTTTGGATTTTGTTGCCATTGCTTTTGGTATTTTACACATGAAGTCCTTGCCCATGCCTCTGTCCTGAATGGTAATGCCTAGGTTTTCTTCTAGGGTTTTTATGGTTTTAGGTCTAACGTTTAAGTCTTTAATCCATCTTGAATTAATTTTTGTATAAGGTGTAAGGAAGGGATCCAGTTTCAGCTTTCTACATACGGCTAGCCAGTTTTCCCAGCACCATTTATTAAATAGGGAATCCTTTCCCCATTGCTTGCTTTTCTCAGGTTTGTCAAAGATCAGATAGTGGTAGATATGTGGCGTTATTTCTGAGGGCTCTGTTTTGTTCCATTTATCTATATCTCTGTTTTGGTACCAATACCATGCTGTTTTGGTTACTGTAGCCTTGTAGTATAGTTTGAAGTCAGGTAGCATGATACCTCCAGCTTTGTTCTTTTGGCTTAGGATTGACTTGGCGATGCGGGCTCTTTTTTGGTTCCATATGAACTTTAAAGTAGTTTTTTCCAATTCTGTGAAGACAGTCATTGGTAGCTTGATGGAGATGGCATTGAATCTATAAATTACCTTGGGCAGTATGGCCATTTTCACAATATTGATTCTTCCTACCCATGAGCATGGAATGTTCTTCCATTTGTTTGTATACTCTTTGATTTCATTGAGCAGTGGTTTGTAGTTCTCCTTGAAGAGGTCCTTCACGTCCCTTGTAAGTTGGATTCCTAGGTATTTTATTCTCTTTGAAGCAATTGTGAATGGGAGTTCACTCATGATTTGGCTCTCTGTTTGTCACAGACTGGCAAATTGGATAAAGAGTCAAGACCCATCAGTGCGCTGTATTCAGGAAACGCATCTCATGTGCAGAGACAAACATAGGCTCAAGATAAAAGGATGGAGGAAGATCTGCCAAGCAGATGGAAAACAAAAAAAGGCAGGGGTTGCAATCCTAGTCTCTGATAAAACAGACTTTAAACCAACAAAGATCAAAAGAGACAAAGAAGGCCATTACATAATGGTAAAGGGATCAATTCAACAAGAAGAGCTAACTATCCTAAATATATATGCACCCAATACAGGAGCACCCAGATTCATAAAGCAAGTCCTGAGTGACCTACAAAGAGACTTAGACTCCCACACATTAATAATGGGAGACTTTAACACCCCACTGTCAACATTAGACAGATCAACGAGACAGAAAGTCAACAAGGATACCCAGGAATTGAACTCAGCTCTGCACCAAGTGGACCTAATAGACATCTACAGAACTCTCCACCCCAAATCAACAGAATATACATTTTTTTCAGCACCACACCACACTTATTCCAAAATTGACCACATACATGGAAGTAAAGCTCTCCTCAGCAAATGTAAAAGATCAGAAATTATAACAAACTATCTCTCAGACCACAGTGCAATCAAACTAGAACTCAGGATTAAGAAACTCACTCAAAACTGCTCAAATACATGGAAACTGAACAACTTGCTCCTGAATGACTACTGGGTACATAACGAAATGAAGGCAGAAATAAAGATGTTCTTTGAAACCAACGAGAACAAAGACACAACATACCAGAATCTCTGGGACACATTCAAAACAGTGTGTAGAGGGAAATTTATAGCACTAAATGCCCACAAGAGAAAGCAGGAAAGATCCAAAATTGACACCCTAGCATCACAATTAAAAGAACTAGAAAAGCAAGAGCAAACACATTCAAAAGCTAGCAGAAGGCAAGAAATAACTAAAATCAGAGCAGAACTGAAGGAAATGGAGACACAAAAAATCCTTCAAAAAATTAATTAATCCAGGAGCTGGTTTTTTGAAAGGATCAACAAAATTGATAGACCTCTAGCAAGACTAATAAAGAAGAAAAGAGAGAAGAAGCAAATAGACGCAATAAAAAATGATAAAGGGGATATCACTACCGATCCCACAGAAATACAAACTACCATCAGAGAATACTACAAACACCTCTATGCAAATAAACTAGAAAATCTAGAAGAAATGGATAAATTCCTTGACACATACACTCTCCCAGACTAAACCAGGAAGAAGTTGACTCTCTGAATAGACCAATAACAGGATCTGAAATTGTGGCAATAATCAATAGCTTACCAACGAAAAAGAGTCCAGGACCAGATGGATTCACAGCCGAATTCTACCAGAGGTACAAGGAGGAACTGGTACCATTCCTTCTGAAACTATTCCAATCAATAGAAAAACAGGGAATCCTCCCTAACTCAATTTATGAGGCCCGCATCATCCTGATACCAAAGCCAGGCAGAGACACAACCAAAAAAGAGAATTTTAGACCAATATCCTTGATGAACATTGATGCAAAAATCCTCAATAAAATACTGGCAAACTGAATCCAGCAGCACATCAAAAAGCTTATCCACCATGATCAAGTGGGCTCCATCCCTGGATGCAAGGCTGGTTCAATATATGCAAATCAATAAATGTAATCCAGCATATAGACAGAACCAAAGACAAAAACCACATAATTATCTCAATAGATGCAGAAAAGGCCTTTGACAAAATTCAACAACCCTTCATGCTAAAAACTCTCAATAAATTAGGTAGTGATGGGACGTATCTCAAAATAATAAGAGCTATTTATGACGAACCCACTGCCAATATCATACTGAATGGGCAAAATCTGGAAGCATTCCCTTTGAAAACTGGCACAAGACAGGGATGCCCTCTCTGACCACTCCTATTCAACATAGTGTTGGAAGTTCTGGTCAAGGCAATAAGGCAGGAGAAGGAAAGAAAGGGTATTCAATTAGGAAAAGAGGAACTCAAATTGTCCCTGTTTGCAGATGACATGATTGTATATCTACAAAACCCCATTGTCTCAGCCCAAAATCTCCTTAAGCTGATAAGCAACTTCAGCAAAGTCTCAGGATACAAAATCAATGTACAAAAATCACAAGCATTCTTATACACCAATAACAGACAAACAGAAAGCCAAATCATCAGTTATTTTGAAATATACGATTCAATATTGTTAGTATTAGTCACCCTACTGTACAATAGAACAGCAACATTTATTCCTTCTATCCAACTATAATTTTTACGCATTGGGCAATCTCCCACACAAGCCAGATTTTTAAGAAAACTATCGCAAGAACAAAAAACCAAACACCGCATATTCTCAGTCATATGTAGGAATTGAACAATGAGATCACATGGACACAGGAAGGGTAATATCACACTCTGGGGACTGTTGTGGGGTGGGGGGACGGGGGAGGGATAGCATCGGGAGATATACCTAATGCTAGATGACGAGTTAGTGGGTGCAGCACACCAGTATGGCACATGTATACATATGTAACTAACCTGCACAATGTGCACATGTACCCTAAAACTTAAAGTATAATAAAAAAAAATAAAAATAAAAAAATAAAGATAAAAATTACCTTATAGATCAGGAGAAAAAAAATAAAAATAAAAATGGAACTCTGGTAATATGTTAAAAAAAAAAAAAAAAAGAAAGTCTTGCTCCTTCCCTTCACCTACACCGGGAATGAGCTCATCTAACTTGGTGACTTCAAGAAGTTCAAGTTGCAAGGAGTCCACCACCACAGGAATCTCTAAATGCCTTTACAATCCTTAAGTTCAGCAGGATTCTTTGGAGCGATTCTTAAATTTAGGCAATGTTGTTAGGCGTGGTCGTGTCTGTCTCTGCCATTATTTTAGCTTTCATTACATACACTCCAAGGAAGAGAAGAGGCAAATAAGGTTCACAGATAGGTCAATCTTTGATAATATGATGAATTGATTACCTTCTGGAAGAGGGCACATTGTATAAGAAACATAACCTGGAGTTGGAACCAAAATTCTAGGAGTCAAGGCTTTACTGACCTGTGATCCCACATGTCACCCACTGGGTCTATTTACCTGAAATTCCCATGTGAAATTCCCATGCTTCATTATCTGTCTTCTCCACTAGACTATGAATTCCACAATGACAAGTGCTATGCCTGTTTTGCTCAGCATTGATTCCCCCCGGCCCCATACAGCATACCCAGCTCTTCTTTAGAATCCTAGGTTTCCATGAAACACAGTTCAACCAAGCCATGAAAGGATTTGCCCAGAAATTGTTTGAGATTACTTTAACCAATTGTATAACTTTGGGCAAGAAGTTTATTTTTTTCTGCTTGTTCTTCTTCCTAAAAAATAGGCAATTGCTATGGGCTTGATCCATTTCAAAGGGTTGTGGTGGGATTCCAATGATCCAGCCACTGAATAAATGGTAGATATCCAAACATGCCATGGAAATGAACAGTCTTGCTTCCCCATGAATCTTTTATCTGGTATGCCTAATAGAAAACATAGCATTCACCAAATAACTGGATCCAGGATCCTTTAAGGTCCATTCCAACTGTGAGAGTCTACAATTCCATAAGTCTAACAATCACTTTAATACATTTGGAATATTCTTTATATTTGCTTAGATATCCCCATTTAAGCATAAAGAATACATTTCTTAAAAATGTTTATTTGGACCAACTAAAATCTATCTAATGTAAGCTTCTCTCAATGAATTTTTAGCATATCCTCTAACCCACAGCTAAACTATCTAGGCTGTTACTATTGAACACTTTATTAACTCTAAACTTCATATATATAATAATGACTGACATAGATTGGCTGTTTGTCCCCTCCAAATCTCATGTTGAAATGTGATTCTCAATGTTGGAGGTAGGGCCTGGGGGGAGGTGATTGGGTCATGGGGGCAGATACCTCATGAATAGTTTAGCACCATTCGTTTGGTCATAAGTGATTTCTTGCTATTAGTTTACGTGAGATCTGGTTGTTTAAAACAGTGTGGCACCTCCCCCACTTCTTGCTCCTACTCTCTCTATGTGATGCGCTGACTCCCCTTCACCTTCCACCATGATTGAAAGCTTTCTGAGGCCCTCACCACAAGAGATGCTGGCACCATGCTTCCTGTATAACCTGCAGAACCATGAGCCAATTAAACCTCTCTTCTTTGTAAATTATCCAGTCTCAGATATTACTTTATAGTAACACAAGAATGGCCTAATACAATAACAGACTTTAATTGATGTATCATGATCCACAAAATATTTCTATTTAGTTCTCTAGTACCCATTATTATCATTCCCATTTTACAGTTGAGGAAAATAAGAGTATTATATCCAATGCTAGTTTCAGGAAGAGGCAGTATCAGACATTTACTTTCAAAACATCATCACTGTTATGTGTATAGATTAAATTTAGAAAGTCCACTTTTCTCTACCACTTCCTGGGCTAAAGTTTTTATTGGATTCTGTATTAGTTTCGTATTGCTGCTGTAACAAATTACTGCAAACTCAATGGCTTACTTAATACAACAAATTTGTATTATCTTACAATTCTGGAGGTCAGAAGTCTCAAATGAGTCACCAGGGCTGTGTTCATTCTGGAGACTCTAGGAGAAAATCTTAGAGGCTGCCTGCATTCCTTGCTTGTGGCTCCTTCCTCCATTTCAAAGTCAGTAGCATAGCATCTTATCTCCTTTCTGACCTCCTGCTTTCCTCTTATAAAGATTCTTGTATTGTGCCTACCAGATAGTTCAGGATAATACCCCATCTCAAGATCCTGAACTCACATTCGCAAAGCTCATTTTGCCATGTCAGGGAACATATTCATGGATTCTGGAAACAGGAATGTGGACATCTTTGGTGGGGTCAGGATTTAGGGCTTTTATCAATCTTCTGCAGGTTTATCTTACAAACTCAATTTCACTGGCCCCAAATGAGCTGCTCAAAAACTGGCACACCCAAGACTGCAGCATGGTCTCATGGAAAGAACTCATCTTAAGAATACAAAAGGTGGGTTTTAAACTTATTTATTTTCTACTTTGGTGACCTTGGTATTGTCATTTATCTCTTTTAAGTTTTCATTTTCTCTTCAGAAAAAAAAAAATTAAACAGGGTATCCTAATTCACCTGAACTTAACAAATAGTTAAGTTATTAAAAACCTACTATGCCAGCCTATGTTAGGTGACCTCCACGTTTGGGGTAAATGCAGAGTTGACTCTGCAAGGTGTTTGTGTTCCAATTTTTGTGAATAAGGAAACTGATTTGTAGAGAGGTTAGGAAATTTGCTTATGATAACATGGCAGTGGAAGAGCCAGGAAATGGACCCAGGTCTGTCCCATTCCAAAGCCCCTACTTTTCTCATAATTCCTGGTTGTCTTCCTCAAGGACCCAATAAGACTATGTAACAATATTTTCACACTGAAAGTGCTACTTGGATGTAAGGAGTTACTATTACTATTACCATTACTGCAGGTAAGCGACTTCCTTGTAGCATCTCTATGCTTGTGCCTGCCAGCATTATAACTGTATGTGCATTTGCATGTTTCCAAAAATAACATTATTCAAAGAGTAAAGGCTGTCTTCTTATATCATTAAGTTAATGTTTTTCATTTAAAGTGGACTTGAGAAAGCTTTCCAAATATGTTATTAAATAACTCGAACTTCTTAACCACAGAAATATCCCCTGGGAAACCCTTAGCCCTGGGCAGCTACCATTAGGACTAGGATGGAGAAAAATGACACCAGGCATCCAAAGGGTTTCTTCAAGCATGTTCTGTACGTGCTCCCTGATTTTTCTCCCCTGAATCACTTTCTTTGTTTCTGCAGATGGTAATCTCCCTCTACTGGGGCTATGTGGACCAACTTGCTCCAATCCACGCATATGTTCAGGTTGACTCCTTGCTGGCTTTTAATGCCCCTTGAGCAATCAAAACTTCTCTATTTCAATTAACATTGCTTTTGATGTTTAGGAAAAAATATTCCATCATCTATAATGTATCACCTCAAGACCTAATATTAATATTTGCTTAATTTTTTCCTCCCTAAAACAGAACACCATTCAGACAGCACTAGTGATGGCCAAACACTATTGCTTTATGAGAACAGAAAGGAGATAGGCTATGCATAATGGGGAAGAAATGCAGACCTAAATGATAAGCAATGGAAATGTTTATCTACTTATAGTATCCCCATATTTTATTTTCATGTATATGTCCTGCAGCTCATTTTGCTTCCTCTGCCTGGAATGCCTTTGTTCACTTCTGCCTGCTGAACCCCAATTCATGCTTTATGACTTACATCAATAATTCACTTGTGGTTTCTTATCTAATAACTTATAACATTGATACAATTTTAATATCTATATTTATTTTATCCTGTGAGCAAGCATTAAGTTTGTGGATCAAAGACCAGGCTTATTACTACTTACAGAAACAACTGTACTAGTTCCCTATGACATGCTGCCCCTTAGAGCAAAGTGATGAGGGCAGATGTCATGCTGTATGTACAGAGAGAGGAATTTCAAAATTCAAAATTATGAATCTGGGAATTTATGGAACCACTGGAGAGCTGCCCCTCTTTTTTTGAGAGAGAGAGTCATAAGCCTATCTTATTTAAAATCATCAAATCCTCTCTGGAAATGACATCTAAGTTATTAGAACCTTTTGGGATGTATACAAATGACTCCTTGTTTTATCCTCCTTTGAGACTCGAATCCTTACCTCTAGTGAGATAACCTCTCACTCCCTCTTTAAGGCATTTTACTATCCTAAATTTTCTATTCAGTCATTATTTAACCCAAGTTGCCAATCACTTTTGTTCATAAAGTATACGTTCATGCAGAAACATGAAAATGTTCACACTGCCTCCTCAAAATTATAATTCCCATATCCTCCAATTATAGTAAGTCATTGTCCCTCAGTGTCACTACTGTATGACACTTGTCATTCTCACAACCACTATTGATCTGCCTAGGACTGGTCTCTATCCAGCCCAAACGTGGTTCCTATGTTTGCACACAATGAATGGTCAGTAAAGATTTTTCAAATAAATGGATAAGCAAGCATTCATCACCCAATTTTATTATGTAAGGCAGCATGCTATAAAAATTTAAAGGCCAAGTAGTTTTCAAACTGTTATCTCTGACAACATCTCATTTGAGGTACGTCCACTCATCTCATTTTTATCCATGGAGAAATTGATACTTCAAGAGTTAAAGAGACATTCCCAAGTTCACACAGCCAGTCAATGATGCTGCTAAGATCGGAACCCGTATCTGTCTAGCCTTGCAGGCCATACTCTTAGCTATGACTCTCTGATGTCTTACTTTGTGGCATCACAGATGCCTTTCTACTTACATTGGTAGGTTTCCCAAGAAACAATTCAATGCTTTAAATGTGATTGGGTTCCCTAGAGGCAGTCTGAGATGGAGATTCTTGTGCAAATGATTTATTAAAGGGTATATTCCCAGGAGAAAGGGAGTGTGAGGACCAGGACAGGCAAGGGGAAAAAACTACAGATGTGGTCTCAACTGGAGACTAGCTTCAGCCTAATCCTGCAGCAAGTACTGGAGCGAGATGAATTGCCTCATCTTCAGGCAAGAGGCCAGCCTTCTGCAGACCCACCTTAATCACTCATTTCCTGGAGTATATCTCCAGGGAGAGAGGAGGCATAACCTCTTTGGTGCCAACGGCATTTCCCACAGGAAGAGGATAGCTCTGAGCTGTTAGCAACAAACACTCACATCACCAATAGATGGGTTGTTGGCCTCATAAAGGGGACCTAGGTGGGACACCATGAGCACCCTTCCTGGAAGAGCTAGACTGCTGTGATTGGCACCCCATTGTGAATGGGGCGATAGCATTTTGGCTGCAACTGGCTGTGTGCTCCAGTTGCCAAGTAAGCATTGGCTGTCTTTCGTTTTGGTCAGCACAGCCTCCAGCTTTAAGCTAAACTGGTTGTTATTGCAAAAGATGCTCTAGCTCTGAATCTTGCTGAAAATATTGGGCCACTTTGGGCTCAGATTGTCAAAATACACACGTCGTACCTCTAGAAGAGGTGTTCAAAGAGAGGCTTCACACAAGGCTTCAGTGCCCTGGGAACCCACTGGAGCAGACAGCTCCTGGGAACATGTTCCATGGGCAGGAAATGGCAATTAAGCACCTGTTAACCCGGGTAGTATTAACTGTCCTTGTTCAGCTCAATAAACAATTTTTAGTCATCTGTTTAGCTTTCTTATTTAAACACCTGTGTGTCAGGCAGCTTTTAGTTCATTTATAAACTAAAGAATCATCAGCTCAAAACCTAAAATTTAAATTGCATACAAATCATTCATATTTATTGAATTAATATTCAGTGTCAGCCATCTCACCCTTTTGAAATGTTTTTATATTTAAAAACTTCTTTGAGATAGGTATTGTTATCTATTTTGGCAGATGAGGAAGCTAAGGGACAGAGATGTGAAACAGTCTGATATCATATAGCTAATGAACCCAAATTTAAAATCGGATCTATTTTTAAAAAATATATATCCATATATGTCAAATTCTCAAGTACTAAAAGGTATATTTTCATTATGCTTTCATTAGATCTTAGGTTAGAACTTATTTGACTGTCTCCAGAAGTCTGTCTGGTAGTGTCTAATAACTTTAAAGGCAAGAAAGATCCAGAATATTTTAGGTCTTTGGCTTAGTCTCCATACAACATCCAAGGAGATCTTTTTAAAACTTTATTCTGATCCTGTCACCTCATGCTGACAACTCTTCCTTCAGGTTCCCCACTGCACTCAGGATAAAATCCAGACTATCCACACAGCCTGGCTGGTCATTGTCAGTACAATGGTTTACATTCTGGCTGCTTCTCCAGCCCCATTTCATGTCATCTCCATTTCATTCTCTCCAGTCCAGCCACACTTGTCTTCTTCCCCATACTCCAACCATTCCTTCTCCCTGTACCACTTTTCCTTTTAATCTTTGATAAATTCAATAAATTCACCCCCTACCTTCATATGCCACTTCCTCAGGGAGGCTTTTAATGAACTCCCAAAATTGTTTAGGTGCTCTAAACAATTCTCACAGAAACCGTGTTTCTTTCTTAGAATTTATCAGTTTGTTGTTTCAGACTAGCACAATCTTCTGATGAATGCTTTATTTCTATCACTGGACTGTACACTTCAGCAGAGCAGGAATCATATTTCTTGTGACTACTTTCATATTGCCAGCACCTATAGTACCTAGCACACAGTAGGCATTATTGAATGGATGAATGAACATACTTCCCCATTCCATCTTCTCTATTCCCTTATAACCATATTATTTAAGCCTGTTCTTTTTTCTCCAGTTGATTAATAGATAATGGCTAAAATAACATCATGGGACAGGCTGGCATGGCATGATACACAACTAGAAATAACACAGAGCCTTTTTCTCCACCAAGCAGGAAGGGTGAACTGACCAACTCCCTAAGACCTTAGATCCCAGTACACTACAGCTACTACATAGGAGTTCCTTTCTATCTTTGACAAATTCAAAGCAGGAGACTTCAGATCCACTGGGAGGAAGCTACAGGCAGAAAAAAAAAAAAGCCAAGGTATTGGCACCATCTTGCATTCATTAAATAATCATGGGGAAGTTTCTTAACCTATCACACCCCCAGTTAGCTCATCTGAAACATGAAATCATGGTGCTGAAAGTTATATGCATGCTAGATAAAGGATGATCATGACTAGAAACATAGGTTAGGCTAGGAAGATGTGGCCTAGGAGATTTCACACTGCCTTCTGCCGAATCCTGAGGTTTTCAGGTGCTTAAGTGTCCACTGGTGGGAGAGAAGGAGGTGATAGAGCAGGGATCAAGTAGGCCTGTTCTGGAGTCCCTGCTGCTATTTCAATATAAGCAAATTCACTTTAATTTTATCTATATATCAAGGTCTTAAAGAATATTTTATTTGGAAAAATGTTTTAGCTGTTTAAAAATACGTTGAAAAACAACTTATTTGATCTTGCATTCTCATTTCACAGAAGAAGAAATCAAGCCTAGTGAAATCTCACACAGCTAGTCAATTGAGTCCTGTGACTCAGGACTTATTTTTATACTGTTTCCCCCCTCCTCATATGCTTTGGTTTTGTAGGGTTTTTTTTTTTTTCAAAGCTTATGGATCACTATGCAAAGTTTCCTCTGCTATTCTAACTCAGCTCAATGAATCAGCAGAGCTGGCTTCTAGTCCTGGGCATATAACCAACTAGCTATATGCTCTGGTCTAAATGTTTGTGTCCTCCCAAAATTCATATGTTAAAACCCTAATCATCAATGTGATGGTATCTGGAGTTGGGGCCTTTGGGAGGTATTTGGCTTTGTCCTCACGAATGGGATTAGTGCCCTTATAAAAGAGGCCTTAGAGAGTGTGTCTTTTCAACCATATGAGGACATGGCTAGCAGGTGTCATCTGAGTCATCAGACATCTAATCTGCCAGAACCTTGATCTTGGATTTACTCACCTCTAAAACTGTGAGAAATAAGTTTCTGCTTTTTGTAAGCTACCCAGTTTCTGGTATTTTGTCATAGTCGCTTGAACAAAGACAACATTTAACTTTAAGTAAGTTCCAACTATTCTCAGCCCAAGTTCCCTATATGAAAAGTAAAGATAATAATTCCTGGCCTGCCCTGTGGAGAGTGAGTGTGAGGAACAGATAACAACAAAATGCAAAATTGCTTTGACTACTATAAAATGTCATCTCTCTATCCTTGAGGCATATAAAAAGTCTATAGTCAGCATGTAATAAATGTTGAAGGAAGAAAAATAAAAGGAAGTAGGGAGGGAAGAAAGAGATAGGCAGAAAAGTTTACTTCTATTTCTGTCTCATCGATAGTAAGTTTCTAATCTCATAAAAACAGAAACACTCATAAAATGCAATTGCTGTGTCTCTCTGTGATGAAGGGAGACTCAAAATCTCCCACTCCTTGGTCTCGTGGGTACCAGATTCCACAGGACTAGTTCCAGCCCTGAAATGCTTTGCTTCACAGTCTCTGGCTGAATGAATGGAACACTCAAGCCCTGTTTCAATGAAACCTAAAATGTGTTTTGCCCCTAGACCTTTTCCTTTTATCTTTCAAGACCCATGTAATGTAATGGAAATTGATGAAGTGTGGAATAAATTCCACTCCTTCCCCACATCTCCTTGTCCATTGTACCTATTAACTTAGAGGAATTTAGCCTGCAAGGGAGTAAATGTTGGTGTAGAAAGGGATAGGACGTTGCAGTTCTTTGAAAGCAGGGGATAGGACGATGAATAATGTTGAAGTTCTTTAGCCACCAAAGCCACAGCCTGTGAGAAATGCATACATGTATTTCTTGTCATTGAGTGAGGCTTGTCTGAAGATGCCACTCACTTTCACATCTCAAGTACACTGCCAATGCCTCCCATGCCCAGATGCTTCCAGTGGCCCAAACTCCCCCCATATCTCTGAGTCTTCCTGGGTGTGTTCATCTGATTGTCCTATTAACTCAACATATCAAAAACTGAATCAATTACTTCTCCTTACCCCCTACAAATAATCACATCCAACCAACATGTTACTAGTCATGTCACCACCATTTTTCTTGTCATTCAAACTATAATCCTGAAACCTGTTTTTAACTTCTCTCCATCACTGTGCCTCCATTTCCAGTCAATTAAGAAATTTTCTTTCTTACATTATGATCCCATTCTCTCTCCTAGGTGCATTTTCTACCTAGTACTGTTGCTGGAAATTTTACCTCCTACTCTATTATCTCCCATATGAACTGTTACAGTAGCATAATGAATAATGTTTATTGAGATAAAGGTTTTTCAGTGCCACAACTTTCAATATTTTAAACCAAAACATTACTATTTTCTGGAGGTAAGGGGGAGGGTGCTCGGTGCATTGTAGGACATTCAATAATGTCCCTAGCTTCTACCTACTAGATGCCAGTAGCAACCTCCCCTCCCCTGGGGTGACAACCAAAAATGTTTCCATATATTGTCAAATGTCCCCTCGATGGCAAAGTCATGCTAGTTAAGCACCACTACTTTAAACCAAGCATGTCAGGTATCATGCATGCCACCACTTATTTTTCCTGAGATTATGGGATAAAGCTATGGCCAATCCAGATATTTTATCCTTTAGAGACAACATGCGGGCTCACAGTCTTTCTCAACATAGCATAGCTAGCACCTGGTATAAACTCATTGGAATGTTCAGAACCCTATTTACCTGTTCATAATGTAGTCTCACCATTCATTAACATCAGAAAGTGTTTCTATTTCTGTATCCCCAGTGCCTGACACCCTGCCTGGCATTTAAGAGATCCTTATGATATATTTTCTGAAAGAGTGAATGGATGAATTTATCACTCCTCACTCCCCTCCACAATCGAGGGTCATGAAATTCCACAGGTCAAAAGTTCTGTGTCTTCTGCAATTGTTCACTGCACAAGGGTGCCCTATCTCCAGAGAGCACAACTCACATCAGAGACACCATAGCATTATACATCTCTCATAAAGATAAACTTCTGCCTAATGGAAGAAGTGTGGAAGGTGTGAATTTTTTCTAATTTGTACAAGAGTGTTTGCAAAAAGTGAACTCGTGGAGACCCTGCAAACTTCCTACTGTGACATCAGAGGTTTTGTTACTTAATCCTACTTTACAGAACAAGCATAAAGCTCAGCTCTACAGCCTGATATCGACAGCCTTCTGAGACCTGGCTCTACCTACCATTCTATGCTTCTTTCTTAATATTTTCTTTCACGAAATTTTAGTTCCACTTTGGGGGTCACTGAGCACACCTTGTTTTCCCTCTATAATTTTGTTGACCCATTTCTCACTGCCTAGAATGCTCTTACCAGCAACTGCATATACTTATCGGCTTACTTTTAAGACATAGAAAATCAACCTGTTTTAGAGGTCTTGTGAAACACATATTTCATATGTTATTCATTTAATCATGTAGGCAGGATTATCTCCAATTTACCATGAGGAAACCAAGTTTCAAAGATTTGCCTGAATGAGGCAAAGGTAGGTCACAGTTTGAGACTCTCAACAGCATATGCCTCTTCATAGTTACATCTCTTTTTCCTTCCTTCCTGTCTCTCTGTTCAGTCCTGGGTGGGAAGGGAGAGGTGAATCTCTCTTAAACCAGTCTTCCTTGCAGGAAAAAAAATGTGACTGGCTAACAGGAGCTCTTGGGCATGGACTGGTAGTCTTTGTTATATCCAACCACAGCATAGTTTTCTATGGAAGAAAAGGAAAGAGTTTTATTTTTAGGCCAATTTTTATTCACCACATAGCCAGCACTATTTAGTTAAAAACGTTAGAGCTTAAGTCACAAACTAAAGAACAGTCTGAGTTGGCAGAGCAGGGGGCATGAAATGACTTCTCCACACCAACATACAAGAAAATCGGCAGTGGGAGTCCAACTTCCGAAGATCAGGATAGCAATATGTACATATCCACAAAATCAAATTCAATTTTATTGGCAGGGTAGAAAGAAAAAAAGGAAAATTGAAGAAAAAATAAATATATGCACTTGTAAGGAAGAGGTTATGTAGGTTAATGTTGGGAGCAGGCGTGGTTATAGAACGTAGAATTCAAAAGACTTGCGTTGATTTTTATTTTATGCATCTTATTATTCATTTTTAGCATGGGAAAGAAGAGTAATTCCTTTAAGGGCAGGCAGACTTTTAATATTATCTTCATAGAACTATACTAGTAGAAGCAAAATATTATTAGATGAGAGAGCTAGTGAGTCAGAGATCATCTGAATGACTTGTTAAATTTTCAGATGAGGAAATTGAAGCTTCAAAAAGGAAAAATAAACCACAAAAGTCGTATGGTAAATGAAGGGCAGAGATTAGAAACCATGCTCCTGGCACCTTTCACAAAATTCTTTCTACATGTTCACCCTCATTCCTCTGCCATTTTGCGACCTCCATTCTATAAATTACCACTGGGAGTTCATCACAGAAATAACCACAGAAAATGGGGAAACGAAACTTGGCTACTCTCCTCTCTAGAACATTTATTCTGTATGTGAGTCAGTACAAAAAAAAGTTTACACTTCATTTATTCATGTAGTAATTTTGAATTAAGCTGCACCACATAAATTCTCCTGAAAAATGATGCAATTAAGCCTGGACTATTTGAGGAAGGACAACAACATGTGGCTGTAATTATAATGGCAAAACATCTTGGTAGCACGCTGACTTATTAGTGCAGTAATTAGTGTTGGTGCAATGCATACTGAATAGTCCATAAAACAAATAACGCGATGTAAAATTCTGAAAAAGAGTCATAATTTTCAAATGAACAATCTTTGGATATTTTGCCTGTGGCATCAACCATTTGGACCAAATTATTTCAGCCACCACATATAGGAAGCTCTGCCTCCCTCCTGAGTACAGAGTATTAGAAAGATCTTCAACTTCTGGCAAAATAGAGAATTCTTGTATAAAATCTGGAAAATGAGAGCAAAATGAACTCTGTTAGGGATGAATTATCTAAATGCTAAAAAGTGAGTGAGGATTTGCTGTATAGTCTTGGATTCTGGAATAGGTTGCGCCAATAGCATTTATTAAAAATCACACAGTGGATTTATCCACTTCACAATTTACACATATTTCAGAACATCACATTTTACACCACAAATATGTATACATATATATAATTTTTATTTGTTAATATTAAAAATAAATAGATTCTTTAAAACCACAAAATGTAAAATTATCAGTCTCATAATAATAGATCTTAGAATTGGTTAGAATTTTGAGACACCACTTTTACTGATCTCCTAACTTCAGACAGTAATGTTTTATAATTTCATTTTATAAATAACTTAGTCCCAAAATATCTCAATAAATAAAATCATAAAAAAATAAGAGTCAACAATGGGTATGTAACTGAGTTCCCATCCAAATTCCATCTCTATTTAGTACATGGATTTACCATAAGACATCTCCTTAGATCTTAGTCACATGTCTTTTATAATCTTACCCACATATTGAAATGTTTTATTCAAAATATTGGATTAAAGAGGTCCAGGGCTAAAACACCAGAAAAAATATTCTTCTAGACGGTCTTTGGCTGGTTCTCAACATACTCTAAGCAGTATATAACTCATATACATTCAGCAGCAAGTAAGACTTGTATGTTGGAGCAGGTGCTGAGAAAGTGGAGGAAGCCAGGTTAGAGCAGATGTGCAGTGATATTGCACAGTACTGGCCTCTTGTTTGAGTGGATCCAAGAGTCAGCGAGATGGTGCCCAGTGAGGTATGAAAGCTCAGGCTTCGTCATCTCTCATTTTGATATCCACGGAGATCGCAAATCTGTGTGGATCCTTAAAGTCACGAGGATGGCCCTATCATAACTATTTCAAATGGGAAATTTTATGTGACATCGTGTCCCAGCCAAAGGCCTAGGCACCCAGAAAGCAAGATTTGAGAAGGGGCTAGCAAGCGTTAGGCAGTGCGTGATAATTCTATGAGTGGTCTGGGGGTCAGATCAGGATTTGAAGAGATGGCTAGAAGTGGGATTGCACCCTTAATTGTAATGGGCACCAGGAAAAAGTTGCTTCCTAGAATGCTGGATCCCTGGCTGCAAAAGCTGCAAAGTATGGCATACCCACTGTGTGCCAGGTATTGTTCCAAGCACTGTATATGAATTAGTATATGCATCTTTATAACAACCATAGGAGCAGGGTCCTGTTATCATCTTCTTCAACAGATATATAAAAGGATGAATAGTTTACCTGAGGTAGTACAGACAAAAATAAGAAAAATCAGGATTTGAACGAATGCAGTTAGTTCTAGAGTATAGTATTTATACAATGGCTGCCTCTTAAATGGAATAAGATAAATTCTAGTTCTTACATGTTGGTGCGTGTGAGGCTTCTATGACATGGTCTGTTTGGGTTGAGAATAATTCAGATAACAGGTGGGACTTACCCGGTGGTTGAAATAATCAATTCCAAAAGCTGAAATGAACTGGGAACAACAGGGGATGAACAAGCAGATTCAATCAACCAATGACTAGTAGATTCAAGAGAAGTCCACCTCATGTCTTCTGCCACATCAGTCTTATGAGGATCTTATTGATACCCAAGGGTCCTTTTTAATACTTCTGGTCTAACAGGCTACTAGTACCCCAAACAAACACAGGGTCATGGGTTTAAAATCCTCTTTTTGCCCATTGCTCTTGGTGAGTCATTGGGCATTTCATTCCCCTTCTCTGAGCCTCACCTTCCTCATCTGGAAATTGGCAATAAAAATATTTCATATAATCACATCCAATGTTAAATAAGAAAACATTTGTAAAGCAGGAGCTCTGGAGCCAGACTGCCTGGGTTAGAATGCTGAGAATAGAATTTTTCAGTTTTGTGACCTAGGGCTAGAGACTTAACCTCTCTGCTCCTCATTTTCAACTTCAGTAGAATGAGAATTGTAATAGAACCTAATTCATAGGGTTGTTTGAAGATTACATATGTTAATCCACATAAAATGCTTATAATGCCTTATAATAAATACCATATTCATGGTAGCTATTGTAACTATTTTTGTTGCTGTTGTTAGCACAGTGCTTAATTGATTCTCTTTCTTTTTCCTCCACTTTTTTCCATTAAACAAGTGAGATTAGTGTCTGAAATTTGACCTCATGTTGAATCCTTGTAAACTTACTAGATACAGCAGTTTGCTCATTCCAAAACTATTGGGTCTGATCTGTATCACTCACTTTATATACTATATATATGTAGATTACAAGATGTGCAGGACCACATACTGTGGCTTAATACCTAGTTTGAAAAGAGAATAAAATTACTTGGAGGCAGCTTGTGTGTTTGGAGTCTAAGTTCCAGCTCTGCCACTAAGTTTCTTTATGATCCTGAGAAAGTTATTGACTTACTCTGATCCACCTTGGGAAAAATAGTGTCTAGATTTAAAGTTGCACCATAGTCACAATGGAATGATTTTTTTTTAAATCAGTGACAACCAAGTGTGAATCTGAACACTGCCATATACTAGTTGTTTAATCTTAAGTAAGTTACCCATCCCTTCTAATTCTCAATTTCCTTATCTGCAAGTGATTGAGAATATTATCTTCTTCAAGAGGAGTACATGAGGGCTAAGTGAGCTAAGGGCCATTGAATGTGCTTAGCTATGTATTTGGCTCATGGAAGGGACTTTCATGCCTTCCTAGCTTGTCCCCACCTCAACCACTGTGCCCAACTCAGGTATACATGTAAGTGCACACTCATATACCAAAGTAAACCTTTATATTTTGATTCAACATCAAGTATTCCTTAGTCTCATTTAAAAACGTTAGGCGCATGTATTTTTGGGAGCAGAGTGACAATGCGATTGCTCTCTAGGCCTTGATGCATGCTTGGACTACATTCTTGGGCCATTTTTTCTATAAGCGATGACCTTGTTCAGCACAGTATCTTCTAGTCTCTTTCAACTCTAATCAGAAAGCATTACCTTTAGACTACTAAGCATCTACCACACAAATAACTATTATTTTTCAAAACATTATCCTCATTAGTTTTCAAGTAGTCCCCTAGTTTCTGGGTAGGCTTGATGCAAAAATAACATGAGATCCAAACAAAATCCTCTGTGAAGACCTCTCTGAATATGCCAGCAGAATTAACCCTCTCTCCATTCTCCTATTATGCCTCCTTTCCCCTCCCTCCCTCCTGCATTGTCAAATAGACTTGTCTGTCTTGGGTCGGCCTCACTCTCTGAACTGTGAGTTCCTTGAAGGTAGCAGGGGCTGAATCTTTTTATTTTTGTATCCCCAACATTTATAACTAAGTCCAATACCTCATACAGAATAGGTGCTTAAATATTAAATAAATGAATAGACAAATATAAAAATTCTTCCCTCCTTCTAGTCCCTCCTGCATTGTGAACATGAATGTGTAGCCTTGACCTTATACAGATTCACCACAAGAATATGGCCATAATGATTTAGGTAGGGAATTATTGGAAGACACATTTTATAACTCTTGCCATAATTAATGTGACAAGAAATAATAATTGACTTAGTAATGCAATCAAATCAGAATGTATTTGATTTGATCTGTCAAGTTGGTATTCATATCTCTAATCCTTCTAGTCAGAGCTTTCAACACCTAATTATTTCTGAAAGCAGTGAAGGCAGGCACATTTGATGTCAAGCTTGGTTTCAAGAAATGAGGAAATGTTGCACCCTCGATTCATTCTGTAAAGCTGGAGAAGGTGGGGGAGATATGTCTCTTACTCTGTGTTTTTGCTCCTCATATGCATACACTCTACCCACTGCTGAGGTGTTTACTAAGCCTTGGGGTCTTAAGCCCAGTTCTTTAAAAGAACAGTCTTTTGAGATGTGGAAGTTATTCCTCAATGTATTTCACATAACACCCATAAAGACAGAAAGATGTGTCTCAGAATGACTAAAAGTATATGTTGAAACTGAATCTTGTTTGAAGTATACAAAATCAAGATACAAGATCAACAGAGTAAGTTTCTGTCTGATAAAACGTTAATATGATTAATGCCTGGCAAACTTATTCCAACCTTGATTTGGGTTTTTGTCACTGATTCTCTCCAGAATTTCTAGTTTATAATGAAATGCATTTTGCATTAGTCGATTTGCCACATTGCAAAGCTAGAAATCTTTTGATGTTTATTTCATGACTGCCTTTCAAGTATATTGTAAGCTCCTTGAAGGCAGAGGCCAGGTCTTTTAATCCATGCATTCCCAGGAAGTAGCCCAGTACCTGGTGTACAGATTCTTTAAAAAAATATGTAATGAGCAATGAATAACTGAACATTTTGCCTTTCATTTCTTTGCCAATAAAGCAAGGACAGGGGAGATTGGAGCACAAGGAAAATTTGGGAGTGATGGAAATAATATTATATAATATTATATAGTATGTAATAGTACTATGTAGTATTTTACTGAATAACATTATATAATATTATTTCCATCACTACCAAGTTATTATATAACATATAATATAATAATATAAAGTGGTATAATTATGATATAATTAACACTATACTATTATACGTAATATATATTAGTAAAATATTTATGAATATATTATTTTATTTATATATAAAAATAGAACATAGTACAGAAAGATTTTGAGGGGATTAAAAGAAATATAATACATGTAAATCCTCTAGCACTGTTCTCACCTAGTTTCTAACCGTATGACATGTTAGCTCAACAAGAAATAAATAGATAAATTGAGGATTTCATTTGTGTTTTCTGAAAGCTAATGAAAAATAAAAGCAATCAACCAAACTTTTGCACATCCTTTCCCTCCAAAGCTTCAGTTTTCTTTTTTTGGAGGTGAGCTGGAACCACATGTACCTGACTTTCTTCATCCTATAGCTGATATGAGTTTTATGTTGTGGGAGGGCAGTTTGCTTAGGTAGTAATCTTTAAAATCGCTTACCAAATACTTCTAGTTTTCCTTCCAAGCACATGGATTTTACTTCCCCACCCTTTTGAAGTTAGAAATGGCTTCCTTTGTGCAGGCAATAGGAGCATAAGTAATATGTGGCCCCTGTGGAAAGAAGCTTCGAGATCCAATGAGACTGAGCCATGACATATTTTCCTGTTGCAGCCACTGTAGAAACACACATCCAGGTACAGCTTTCTTCAGCTTGGATCTCTCAGTGACTGTGGTGAGCAAACGTCTGATGTCAACATGTTTTGGAAATGTCCGTTGGGTGTGAAATCAATATTTGGTTTCGCTCACTTGAGATTTGAAGATTGTTTGTTATTGCAGCAGAACCTAGCCTACCCTAATTGACACACGTGTTACCTTGCTGAGATCCAACGCACAGTGGATAATCAATCAAAATCTAATGAATTGAACTAATTTCCTTACCAATACCTAGACACACACAAGGAAGATCCAAAGATGAATTTGCCTATCTTTGGGTTAAAGCAAAGTTGCCTCCCCTCCAACTGCTTCTGAAGATTTGTTGGACAAATGCTCCTAATTTTTTGATCTCCATATTTCTCTGCCTTCCTTGGGAGAACAAGGGAGATATTTTCCTTCTAATTTTCTATATCTCATTGAGAAGATTAGTTTGACTAATGATACACTAGTGTAGAAGAGACCACAAAGAAAAGATTTCTCACCCTCTTATTCAATAATTTATCATTGAATGACACCACTGGCCTTGTATTCCAAGAAAAACCATGGGAGAGTAAAAGTTAAAAACTGGAACCTAAAACATGGTCTTCAAATGAAAGTGACATTTCTTATGATCAAAAGGTAAAAACAACTATATTTATACAAAGCTAATTCAACAGTTTTCCTACAAAACAAATGCCTGTTAGAAAGATCATACACAATGCCCAAATCAAACAGAATAATTGCCTTTTCTAGCCACATGGCATAGGAAGAAGTGAGTGAGAGGTTGTAATAAGCCCGACCTTTACACCCCTCTCTGCTACACTCCTAGGTGAACCTACTCCACCTATGTCCTAAGCTGAGAAAATTGGAATTCCTCTGCTTGTCTCTTTATTGGTTCTCTGCTCACCAACTGTCAGGTTTTCAGCAACAAAAGGCACGGGCAGAGCTAGGAATTCTACTGTCCTCCAGCTTCTCTACCTGCCAGTCTTGAGCCCATATGAAGAGTTTATATGAAGCATGAGGCTTCCAGAGACGGACAACATCCATCTCTTCTGGACATGGCCTCGTGTTCTTCAAAAGAGAAACCCTAAGACAGCTATTCCTTCAGTTTTCATAGTTTCCCTTTTCTTCATATCTAGCTCCCCAGCCCTTTTATCCCCTTTTCCTCTCTACAAGCAGTGCCAAAACATTTCAATTGAAATATTCCATTCCATTACATCCCATCTCATTATTCATAATCCATGCCAGATGGCATGTCCCAAGTTTTGTTTCTGAAGATAGAACCACCATCCCATATATTGCACAGCACTGAAACAGACACTCAATTAACGTTCTTTCAACGAATGAGTAATATAATCTATCTTTCAACGAATGAATAATATAATCAAAGTATATGAGTTCCAAATGTAAACTCCCTGAGGGCAGGAGCAATGACTTACTTGCCTTTATACTCCCAACAGTTAGCATTCTGATTGCCATATAGTAGGCACTTAGAAAACAGTTGCATGGTTAATAGCATGGGGTTTGGCATAATATTCTTGATTCTACTTTTAGTTTCATCACTTACTACCTGAGTGACTCAGAAAAATTATTCAACCTATTTTAGACTGTTTTCTTGTTAGCAAAATAAGACTGTTATGATGATTAAATGAGATAATGTGTACTAAGGACTTAGCATAGAATATGCTCTCAATAAAGACTATTGAGTTTCACCTCAATAGCACAGTGTCCCTATCTTTTTATTTATATTGTCCAAGCTTGCAACATTTCGGCATTTTCAAAGGCATATGCACCTGCAACCAGCAATTAAGATACTAATGTGATCCACGGTGTCAAATTCTTAATCACAAGTAGCTATGGGTTAGTTCTTTCTCCTTCAAGCTGGTGAATTTATCTAAAAATTTATGTCTATTACACAAAAGAAGGCCAAATATCCAGAGGATTTGATTTTAAAACCCACGCCTGGAGAATGGCGGGAAAAGGATGCGTGTCAGGAATACATCACACCTGATTGCCTCAAGCATGCATGTGTGCCAGACATGCCTACACAACTGGTTTCATCTTTTAAGGAAAAGAAAAATAAGTCACAGCATTCCCCAGGAAGATTCAGCATCATCATTAGTGGTATGAATAATTTATCAGCAGCTCCCACATCCAGATAATGACACTTTTGTTGTCTGCTCAAAGAGCAGAGAGGCTGTTCAACAACAACAAAATTAGTTCCCCCAAAATAAAACCATCTTTTTCACCCTTGAATTTGCCTTATCTGAAAATTGCAGATGTATCAAGGCACCAGTTAAGCCAAAGAATACAGAAGAGACTTCTGTTTAAAACAAAAAAAAAAAAAGAGAGAGAGAGAGAGAATAGAATAAGGGAAAAGAATCTAAAACAAATTATTTAATACATTTTAAAGGATCATTTCTTTTCCCTTGTTTTCTTAAAATCATCCAACACCATTGCATCTTGGATATGTTTCTCAAGTACAAAACTGTTTCTGAAAATGATAAAAGACTCATTTCCATGTAGCATAAGGATGCTTATAAGAATAATGCAGTTTCTAATCTTTAAAGCTCCAACTTCAGCATTAGGTCTGCTGTGGCCAAACGTAAAAAAGCACCAGTGTGCAGGCACCAAGCCCGACTTCTTGGAAGACCAGCTAAAATAGTGAGGGGCAGATGCATGCCAGCATGGAAATCAAAGCCATACCTGGAAGCTAAGCAGAGTTGGGGTTGTTCTTTCAGAATTATTTTTCATGTGTTTGAAACGGAAACTTTTCAGAAGGCTGGAAGCGTTCCTTTAAGTCACTTGACCTCTTAAACACAAAACTCTTTTCTTCCCCCTTAGAGAAAAAGGGGGGCTGAAGGGTTGGAAAGACTTTTGAAAAGCCATAGAAGGCTTTACAAGTAACTGTCCTGGAGCAATCCCTGCGGAGGAAAAGAACCTTACCACTCAGGAAATCTGTCTAGCCCGCTACCTTGCCCCACTCAGCTGCCCTTCGTCACAGATGTTACCGATTTTATAAGATAGCAATTCCCTGCTCCCAAAACAGATTCCAAGTGAGAAAATAGGAAAAGTAATTGGTTGCTATTAGATACACATTCTGAAGTAGAAAGAAATGTGGGTAGCGAGGAATTTCTGGCCTGGATTAGGGGTTCCATGGTAATTAAACCATAATGACAAAGGAGATTCCCAAAAACTTACATGAAAACACAAATGGGCAATGTGCTTCTTTCAAATCATCTAAGGAAAATAGGCTATTCTTTCTATAAAAGGATTCTTTTTCCCAGGAATAGACTATTGTTACTGAATGTCACTGATGCAACTTCAATTGTACACGTATTTGTTGAGAAGACATGATGTGACAGGCCTTATGCTAGATGTGGGGTGCACTGACGTAAAGGACCTCCCTTACCTAGCCATACTGCACTCATAATTTCCCAGTTTTTAATTATATTTTAGGAGGTGCTATGATACATTTTAAGGAGGAGTGAATAATCCTATAAGGAATACTCCTTCCCATGTAGAATTTATTGCCTTGAAGCATTTTCTGGGATCCTACTGAATCCTTTGGATTAGGTTGTAACAGAAGTTCATTACTAAATTGTCCTTCAGGCTTAAACAATAGAGAGCTTGAGTTTGTTTGTTTTATTTTCTCTTAAATAGCTTTATTAAGATAAATTTGCATACCATAAAATTCCACTTTTTATAATGTAAAATTTACCAAATTTTAATATATTCACAGGTATATCCCAAAAAGAAACCCATATGGATGGGCAAACACCCTTCATTCCCCAGCTACCCTTACCCCCACCACTATGCCTATGCCTCAGCATGCAGTCCCAAGCAACCATTAATCTTTCTCGTCTCTATTCTGGATATCTTATAGAAATTGAATTATATGTGTTTTTGTGACTAGCTTGAGCTTGAGTTTTAAAACTTTCATGTAACCAGACAAGAATCCAGGAGTTCTGAACTGAACTTCCATTTCCTTATTTGTGGGAAAAAAAAATACCTCCTCGGACAGTTGTAAGAAGTAAATAAAATAATACTACATTAAAGCAGGTAACACAATGCCTGTCGCACAGATATTGCCAAATAAAATTTGGCTTGATTTCTGCTATCACAAATCTTTATGCCAGAAGCACTCCTTGCAGAGTGTCTCTAAAAACTGTCTATTTGAAAAATGTTGAAGAAACAGGCAGAAAAATAAAATACATCCAACTCCTAATCTGACCACTTAAAATTTATAAAATAACTCTTCTAGAGATAACAATTACTAACAGAGCAACGTGTATGTATCTAATTTTTCTTATGCTTAGAATAAATTGATTTATGATATATGCACACAGATACAAGAACATGAGACCTCTATGCCTACAAGGGCTATATAGTACAGATAGCAATAGAAAATGTAAACATTTTTAAAAATAGAAATATAAAATTAAGTGCTGAATTGTATGGTACAAGCAAAAGGAGCAAAATTTTGTAGACTGTATATCATTCACAGCATGGCTTTTGCTTTAAAAATAGCAGCAGTTTGAGTTCCTTGTATATTCTGGATATTAGTTCCCCATTGGCACTATTCACAATAGCAAAGATATGGAATCATCTTAAATGTTCATCAACAGATTATTAGATAAAGAAAATACTAATACTATTCAGCCATAAAAAATAATGAAACCATTTCTTTTTTTTTTTTTTTTTTTTTGAGACGGAGTCTCGCTCTGTCGCCCAGGCTGGAGTTCAGTGGCGCGATCTCGGCTCACTGCAAGCTCCGCCTCCTGGGTTCACGCCATTCTCCTGCCTCAGCCTCCCAAGTAGCTGGGACTACAGGCGCCCGCCACTACGCCCGGCTAATTTTTTGTATTTTTAGTAGAGTCGGGGTTTCACCGTTTTAGCCGGGATGGTCTCGATCTCCTGACCTCGTGATCCGCCCGCCTCGGCCTCCCAAAGTGCTGGGATTACAGGCGTGAGCCACCGCGCCCGGCCCGAAACCATTTCTTTTGCAGCAACATGAATGGAAGTAGAGGCCATTATCCTAAGTGAAATAACTCATAAACAGATCAAATACTGCATAATGTCACTTACAAGTGGGCACTAAATAATGTGTAGACATGGACAGAGTGTGAAATCATACACATTGGAGACTCTGAAGGGTGGGAAGGTGGGAAGTGGGTGAAGGATGAGAAATTGAATAATTGGTACAATGTACATTATTTGGGTGATGGTTACACTAAAAGCTGAGAGGTCACCACTATGCAATATATTCATGTAACAATTCATGCACTTGTACCCCTTAAATTTATACAAATTTTTAAAAAGAACACTGAAATAAAAGGCAATAGTAAATATTAAAAGTACAAAATTTAATTAAGGTAGAAAGATTAAAAGGAGTATGTCACACAGACTTCTAATTCTAAAAGGGTTTAATACAGCTTAATAGAGAGTCTTCCAAATGTTTTTGGTTCATGGCACATTTAGTATCAGAGTAATTTTTTTCACAGCCCAAAGAAATACTTAATAATTTTATTATGTAGTTGGGTAAAAACAAATTAACAAGTATTTGTATCCTAACTACTGAGTAACTTTTTGAAAAAGTTTTTGAAAAAAAAGTTACATATAAAGAAAAATATTTTATTTCATTTTTACGTAACCAAAATTACTTATGAATAGGAAGCATGTACCTCTTGGACACTCCATATAACCTCTCAACTTTGGAAAAAGACTGCGCTATCACCTTCACTCCCTGTTTCACATTGATTTTCACGTTATGTTAGGTTTTGTTTCTTTTTTTTAACATACTGTTTTTAGAGTCATTTTAGGTTCACAGCAAAATTGAGCAGAAAGTACAGAGAGTTCTCACGTACCCCGTTGCCCACACACACTTGTTGCTTGGTTTTTAATAAAAATCCTAGCTATGCAAAGATGTGACCTCATTGAAAGGAATATATTGTGATTTGGTGTTAAAATTCTAAACTATCTCGAGGTGGTAGTTGCCATGCTCTCTGAAAGATGTGAAGCATCATTGTGTTTTTCTTGAAATTTAGAAAAATGCCTTTCTGAGGAGGCTGCAGCACCCTGGGTTGCCTCAGCACACAATTTGGGAAATGATGGCTTGGAGTATTTAATTCTAGAATGGCATTCTAACCCCAGAAGTCTATGATTTAGCAAAATACCCCAATACTTTAAGGTATCTAAAGATGATGAAATGACAAAATTGAAAGAACCTGGGTTGCTAGAGCACTATCTGGAAGATTCTATGAGTTCATAGGCTATCTACATTAAATTGTTAAATTATTGAGAAGTAAACTTATTTAGGTTAACCCATTGATATCATGGAATTGTTAGTATTAGTTACCTCCCCTAATAATTTTTATATAAGATTCTACATATATAGCCCCTGTTTTCTCTCTAATATCTTCTTTCACCATTTCCCAAAATGTAATGGGTACTCTATATCCTATACTAAAGCTAGAATAAGTTATTTGTTGTTTCTCAAACACTTTACTCTTTTCCTTAACAGTTATAATCTCCCTTCTCTTCCCAGCTAAGCCCTTCTTATTCTCTGAAGCTCAACTCGGGATGTCACATCCTATAAGATCTTGCTTAACAACTCTTGGATAGGTGAGCTTTCTCTCATAACATCTTTCTAGCACTTACCTTCTCCATTCTCCTGAATTGCTTGTATTCAGGCTCTCATCCTCACATCTGTATCCAGCTTTTCCCTTAGCTGACCACAAGGCCAATATTATGTTACCTCTAGGCAGAACTCATGGATAATAACTGTGTACCTGAATCCTAAATTCAAAATACTAAAACCCCAAGGTTCTTTGTTGCATCAGTAACAACCACAACAATAACTAATATTTCTGAGTGTGCTATTCACTGTGCTGAGCACTATATACATATTTAATCATGAAATAAAATTTATCATAGAATTTAGTTCTATGATAAAAATTTTCCATAGAATTTAGTTCTTTGAAATAAAAATTATCATCTTCCTCTTATACTTAAGACAAAATGAGACATAGGATAATGAAGTGATTGTCCAAAATCCTAGAGACATCCAACATACAAAAAATAGGAAGAAACTGTTCCTTCTCCCCAACATGACTAGAAACCCTCTTTTTCTGCCTAAAACTTACTGGAGCATATCAACCCCTTGATGGTTATCCCATGTATTTAGGGGGATAAGTTTCCCTTTTGGGGTTCCCAAATTTCTATACTACTTTCAAACTTCACAGGGACCACAGTTATTTTTTCTTCACTACTGTATTCTTCCTGGGAGAACACTCAGTAAATTCTTGCTAAATAAATGAATTAATGATAGTGAGAATTCCACTGGCAGCAGGGAACATCACAAGTTTGGGATTACCCATTATAGAATGACAACTGAAACTCTTTTTTTCCTGCGTATTAGTCACTGGAGGAAAGGAAGCTGAAAAATAATCAGATAAAAGCAATCAAAGAAACAGTGAACATACTTGCAAGCTGTGATGGATAAACGGTATGGACTTCAGGTAATTCTGGAAGAATAAATAATGCTATTGTCTCTAAAGTACACAGTAAATTACATAGGCTATGCAAGGCAAGAGTTGAATTTCTAGATAAACAAACAGTTTTAAGTTCTGATTATGAATAATTCAGGGTGGTCAGGTAACAGCAAGGAGACATGCCTGCAATTTAACAAAGTGTTATCAGATGAGAGGCATCTCCATAAAGAGTGTGGCTTCTTCTCTTGAGCAGGTCTTAAATGAATGATGGAGTGAAAGCATTAAGATTTTTCATCTTGGGGAGTACAGTGAGAAGGTGTGAGTGAATTATGCATGACCTTTTATTCTGTAAAATGTGAAGTGTATTATGTATAACTTCTAGCTGCCCTCCAGAAATTATCTTAACGTGGAGCATTTTGGACACCCCTACAAAGATGTGCCTCTTAACCTCATTCTCAAGAGCCCATTGGTGAAGAAAGTTTGACACTAATGCCACAAAGTATATATCAAAGGGACTTCATGCCTGGGATCCAGGAATTTTCACTTTTGAACTTCTGCAACTTAATTTTTCACCCAAGTCCTTATCTCTGTTCCATCTTTATCTGTTCTACATTCTCTAAACTTGTTTTTAAGCCTTCTTAAAAACCACTTTATTGAGATATGATTGACATACAAAAATCTATACATACTCAATGTATATAATTTGGGTTTGGAAATAAGTAGACATCTGTGAAGCCATCACTATAATCTATGCCATAAACTTATCTATCACCTCCAAAAGTTTTCTGTTGCCTTCTTATTTATTTTTTATAAGAACACTTAAGATCCATCTTCTTGGAAAATTTTTAAGTATACAATACAGTTTTGTTAACTATAGGCACTATTCTGTACATGAGATCTCTAGGACTTATCACTAAACTTTGTTTTGACAGTCTTCTAACCTTGTGCTTAATGTATTTCATATAGGTGACTGTCAGTAACAGGAGTCCTGAATCAGATATGAGCAGAAATCATGGATTAGGAAAGTGTGGATGAAATCATGTTGAAGAACACACAAGCAGAATACTGCCCAGGAGTAGCACTGGGAACTCACTGGGCCATGAAAAAAAGGAGGAAGGCTCAAGGAACTGCTCAGTTTTCTGTAGGGTTCTGGCTTCCATGAATAATACAGAGCCAGGGTGGAATGTAAGATTCAAAAATTCAAAGCAGATGGTAGGTCGGGTTCCTGGGACACCACGTTTGTAAAAACACTGTGTTTTGTTTCCTACAGGCATTGGACTCTGAGCATGTAGCAACGGACTTTGCAGGCATCATCCACTGGTGCAGTGGGAGCTCCTAATGTATTACTTATCTTAGCTCTTGTTGTATTTAGAGCCTAGGTACAACTCAACTTGAAAAAGATAAATCACTATTGTTGGTACTTGGATGAAATAAGATTGGTGGTCATTGTTGAGATATCACTCAAGGTATACTCTTCATTGAGGAGCTCCACCCTCAGGGGAAGCTAACAAATAAGATTTTAATAGAACAAATGTATGAGGAATGATTAACACTTTAAAAGCAAGATTTGCAACATGTATATTATGATCCCTTTGCCTTAGCATGGGTTTTTCCACGTTTGACAAGAAAATATGTTCAGGAGAGTCATTCCTTAGAACAAAAATGAAGGACTAGGAAGAGTGAGACAATGAAAGAAGAAAAAGCATACTGTAAGTACAATATCAAGATTCCCACTGTGAGAAATGGGGAATCAACTTTGCTAGAACTTCCCAAGAAGTATACAAAATGCTACCCTAAATTTTCTATCCAAAAGTCATGGGGACATTTATAATGACATCAGCCAACATCAAGCCTTTGGTCAAGGGTTGCTCTTAGGAATGCTCGATCCCCTACACTGCTGAACATCATGTGTGCACAGGCCAAGAAAGCACCTGTGAGCTTCCTAGTGTTGGTTAAAGAAAAGCAAGCTGGGCAGCACACTTAAGGTGAGATGCTGTCAATGTAAAATGAGCCTAATTGTTAGAATGAACCATCCCAGCCACAAATAAAATGAGAGACTGGTAGGGGGAACTTGACACGGACCCCAGAAGCATTGGGTACAACCCTTCCCATTAACACAATAATTAGCTCCTTAGTATCTAACCTAAGGACTTAAGGTAAAAAGTGAATAAAAATGAAAAATGTGATTACTCTAACATTAACAATAGAAAGCAACTGTAACAGACTTAGAAGTTAAATCAGGAGAAAAGTTACATGCATTGTGATAAATCTCTATATTGGAGTATTACATAATTATTAAAATGACGTTTCTGAAAGGTTGGTAAGAATATGGGGAAATGTTCCTAGTGTAATATGAAGTTGGGAAAAAATGATAAAAAATTATATACACAGAATTATCACACCGTATAAAAGTAATCACGTATAGAAAAGTATCCCCAAAATAACAAAATATAAAAGTAGTTATATTGGTTCTTAGGACCATAGGTAAAAACTTTTCTCTACTTTTCCATAGGAACTATGAGTAGAAATCATAGTGGTTCTATCAACTACATTGTACATGGCTATTAATCCTGTCATCTAGAGTCTTGATCCTCATAGATGATATCAAAGTCTGTGGTGCTTCCCACTCATTATATATCCTAAGTGCCTATTCTCATCTTAATATGGTTGGGGCAACTGTCTTTATTGCACTCCTATCTCATGCCTCTTTTCCTAAGCCCTCCCCATATAAAATTGTTTCTTGCTCCTCTTCGGCCCTTTGGGAAACACTTAACTCCGTTTTTACTCCCAACTATTCTTCCTACTTACTTATCAAATAGCTTTTCCTAATCTGAGCCCTGCCCCTGCCTTTCCTGTCTGAGGTAGGTGATTCTTCTGTCTAGTCCCATAAGACCTGATACTCATCATACCTTAGCACTGGTGATGCTGTTTTGTGTTATGTATGTATGTTTCTTGTACCTTATTCCTAACTAAAAGCCCCGTGACATGCATTATCTCATTTAACCATCACGATTTCTTTATCAAATAGGTATTATCATGAACTTTGTTTTGTAGAAGCATAGAGAACTTTAATAACCTGCTTAAGGTCTAATACCTAACATATTGAAGGACAATATCTAAACCAAGATCAGAATATAGGACAGTTTTCACTTCAAATCCAATTTTTAACCATTGTCTCCTAATAGGGACAATGATCAAAACAACATAAAACGAAAGGTTTCTGATATTTATTGGCTGTTTTTTACATTTGGCTAAACCAATGAATATTCTTTGCATTAACATAAACAAATCTGATCATAAGTGGCCAATAGTTCCTGTATTTAGTTCTAAATTAACAAAATATCATTTAAGTTAAATGTGCAAAAACAACTTAAGTAGTCAATAATAGGAGAAAATACCTAAGTGAATTATGTACTCGATTAAGCCATCAGCAATTAAATTTATGCGGTTAAAATGCCTACATGATAGTTCTATGTGAAAAAACAAGATATAAAAATGTATATGCAGTGTTATATTCTGAACATGTGCTCACACCTACCACAAGCACATTTAAAAAACTAGAAGCAAAGAAACCAAACTATTAGCAGATTTTTATAGATGCTAGGATTATTGGCGATTTTATTTTTATTTTTCTATATTTGTTAAATATTTTACAATAAAATATATTCTTTTTATAATTAGAAAAGTCATCAAGCTTTAGTATTAATTCATTTATGTAATTTATATATGAATTTATGTGCAATATCTTGGCCATAAATTGAGAAAGTTTAACAAGTGGGAAAAAATGGTTACAAACCATAGGTCCAAGTTTGATTATTTTACCTGGAGCAGGATTTGAAGGAACTCATGTTTCTGGGTTATAGATTCATAATGAAAGGAAAGCAAAAAGGAAAAGTGCCTTTATATCTCTTTTTCAGTAAATCCTGTTCAAAACAGAGTGTGTTGTTAAGAGATACAACGTTTTCTGGTAGACACAAATTAGATGCTGAATGATGAAAGGCACATTTTTAGCTGCCACTGAGAACTTCAGTGGAGAAACTTTGAGCCAGAACAGGAAAAGGTTTTGGAAGTGCTTATGGTCTCATCAGTGGTTTTCAACAATTCGAATGAGACATGATGAGTACCCCAGTGATATTCCAGGGAGGAAGTAGGTAGTTAACTTTTTTATGAAAAATATATTCATAATATATGATATGGGAGGGTGATTTCTGAATTTCCCTTCATAAAATACAGCAATTGTGGAGTCATAACTCAATTACAAAAAAATGTAGCCTTGACTGGAACTTGGAACAAGACATCCTATCTCGGTCTGGAAGCACTTTTACTTTTGAAAAATAAATAAGTAAATTCTGTTTATGGTTTTAAAGCTTATTTTTAATCTTGCATTAAATCCAAGAAAACAAGGGTACAGCAAACAAACAAACATCAGAGATCAAACTGTCGAACGCGGGTCAACCATAGCAATTGATTGAAAAACTCAACAAGATCTAGAATTAAGAGTGTACAAATTACAGCTCATAAAACAAAGGCAATACACTTTTCTTCAAAAAGTCCACTAGCTATTTTCTACCTATTTTCAATATGAAGTGTGAATCTTGCACTCAGTTTGCATCACAACCCACAAGGGAAAGCTTTTCAGCAACCCACTGATAGGAAATTGGGGACCTAAACAAGCTGGATTATCTCCTTTAAGAAAGCGGGAACACTATTCTGGAACCAAGTCTGCAGAGGTCAAGGAAGCCAGAGCTTTATCACTGAATCTCAACACCTGTGGATACTAATCTGTCCAGGCTGCATTGTCCATTCACATGCTGCTTGAAATTTAGGCTGTTTAACACTGAACAACTCCAGCAAAAAAAAAAAGAAGAAAGAAAAAATCTTGCAGCTCTGTTTGTAGTGAGAAAAACTGTAGACATGAAGCCAGGGAACCTATGTTCATATTCCAGCCTGATTATTCGTTAGCTGTGTGACATTAAGTGGGTCATCCAACCTCTCTGAATTTATAAAATTATTTATATAATGGGAATATCTAACTGTTGTGAGAATAAAATGCAAACACTTTGTTTTGTAGTTTTAAATATTTGGTAAAATGTACATATAGTAAAGGAAATAATTAGCATATATGAGCTCCATTAGAAACAAAAATTAAAATGACAGCAAGATTAAATAGCAACAATGGTTTCTTTAGGATGATACAATTATGGGTGGGACTTCTACAAGCTTCTTTATTCCTCTTCCTTTATACTTCTATGCACTTCTCTGGAAGTACAGAGGTTTCAAACAACCAGTTGCAATAGTCTGGGTAGGCAACACTGTTGGAATCATATGCCCCCCTCTCCCCTTCTGGTTATAAAATACTGAGTGGTTCCATTTCCATATTTCCCCAGTGGTCAATCTTTGGCATGAGATCAAACACCACAATATGTTTTAGAAGGGTGTGAGAAAAGGAAAGCAGACCACTAGAACTTAAGGGCTTTGGCAGTCTGAACTATGAGGTGAGTTTGGAGAGGATGATTTAAAATAAATGAGGAAAAAAAGCCTCTGGCTTTTGGCAAGAGCACATGAAATACCATTGCACGGCTCTCCTGCCTCTGTGCCCCATCCAGCACCATTAGGAAGGGATGGATATTTGCTTGCTTTGGATTCAGTATTTGGCTGTTCTTCAAAATATTCCATCCATTTCCAAATGAGTACTGGCTTCTTCCAGACCTCCAGATCATAAGACATTTAAGATCAGGGTGAAGGCCCCATGGCATAGCAACATGGGGTATTTACTCTGGCCTCTTGCGAGATGTTTATAATGAGACATTAAGCTACTATGGGTGTTTTCTGTGCTTCAACTTTACTTATGTGGAATTCTCAGAAGACACCTCCCCTCCTAAAGAAGGATCTTCTTCTCAACTGTGGATACTTCCATCTCTTCAAGATCCCCACAGGCCCATGATGTTTCCTGATATCTGGATGAAGGGGACACTTGAAGCCACAGCAATTTGCTGCAGGGCAGCCTCTCCTTTTGGCAATACTGAGTCTTTTGTCTAGGAAAAGACAGCCCAGCAACTGCCTCCGTTTCCATTGTTCTCTAGTACTGGGGTGGGTTTGCAGGAAAGTTGCCTCTGAGCAGATGGCAGTGCTGTTTGATGGAGGGATTTCACGTTCAGAACACCAATGAATCGAGGTTTGTATGTTCACACTGTGCACTGCTTCGTACCTGGCACAAATTGCATATTTTTACAGTATTGCCTGTGGATATGGCCCACTTAAATTGCCTGTGTAGAAATCATGGCTCAATTTATGTCCTGTTCCAAATCTGCTGCAGAAGAGTCCATCATGCAAGAGACTAATTTTTAATTGGCAGAAGGTAAGGAAATCGTTTTTTACAGAATTTTTTTTAAATAGCTGTAACATTTATTGAAATAAAATATTGGATGAAATTCACCATATATGTCAACTCAATGAAAAGATTCAGGAAGCTGAGGTTAAAGTCATAAGCTGAGAGAAGAGATTATAAAAGGTACAGAGGAAGAATGTTCACCCTTGAATGGCTGAGTCTCTCAGAGTTCTGCTCCAAACTTTCTTCTCATTCTACATTCTCTCTCTGCTGGATTCCATCATTCTTGTCCTTTCAAAGCCCTCCTCTTTGCTGACCACCTATGTATGAAATCTACATTCCAAGTCCCAGCCTGTTTCCACATTTCCCATTTCCTGTGGCTTACCCAATATTTCTGGTAAGAAGGTACACAAAAGCTCACCAAATTAAAACATACAAAACCATCATCTTCTTCCCTAAACTGCTTATTTGTCTTCCTTTTCTATGTAGTTTGCATTATCTCCATCCACCCAACTGCCCACATTACAAATCTTAGAGTCGTTCTTGATATTTTCTTCTTCACAGCTAGTCAATCACCAAATCTGTGCAATGATACCACTGACATTTCTGTAGCATCATCCTCCTTCTTGCTGCCCACGATTATTTCCCTTATCCAGGTCTTCTTCATCGTACCTATCTTATCTCATTTAATGCAAGTCTTTTCGTTTTGTTTTTTTTTTTCTTTGAGATGGAGTCTTACTCTGTCGCCCAGGCTGGAGTGCAGTGGCGCAATCTCGGCTCACTGCAACCTCTGCCTCCCAGGTTCAAGAGATTCTCCTGCTTCAGTCTCTCAAGTAGCTGGGAGTATAGGCGGGTGCCACCACGTCCTTTGCTACTTTTAGTATTTTTAGTAGAGGCGGGGTTTCACCATATTGGCCAGGCTGGTCTCGAACTCCTGACCTCATGATCCACCCGCCTCGGCCTCCCAAAGTGCTGGGATTTCAGGCATGAGCCATCATGGTTGGCCTTAATGCAAGTCTTTTAAGTGGTCTTGCAGTACATGCCAAGTATGCCACCAATATTATCTTTCAAAAATATAGATTTCAGGCAGTTCCTGTGGCTCACACCTGTAATGCCAAGGTTTTGAGAGGCTGAGACAGGAGAATCCCTTAAAGCCAAGAGTTCAAGACCAGCCCTGGCAACATAGCAAGACCTTATCTCTAAAAAAAAAAAAAAAAAAAAAAAAAAAAACTTGTGAAATTAAAAAAATAATAATAAATTAGATTTGGACATGTTATTTCCTATGTAAAACATTTCTAAAACTTCCATAGTTAATGGCAAGATTCTCTGGGGCAAACAACCCAGCGAAAACCGCAGAATTAAAAAAAAGATACTCCCATACAATGCATATCAATCTGGCTTGGTTAACTAATTATTTCTTTTTAATTTTTGGCCAACCTCCCTCCCCACACCACTTGGCCTTAGGTATGTGACCCCCACATGCAGGCCTTCTCCATGCCTTTAGACCCCCTGGATTCTCACTCCCCTATCTTCATTCATTCTGATTCATTTTCCTGGAAATTATAACCTTCCTCCTAGACAGAATTAATTGCTTTCTCATCTATGTTTCCAGAGAAAGTTATATATTCATCTCTTATAGCACTCTTCATGCTACATCTTTATTATTTATGTGTCTATGTCTGCCATAAGTTTTAATGTTTCAAGGACACAGATTGACCCTTACTTATCTTTATATCCCAGGCCATGTGCTGTGTGCCTGCCAAAGAGGAAGTGCTTCAGGACCATTCTCTGAAATGAATTAAGAAAATGCCTTTGTTGCTTGTGATGAATCAGAAAGCCACCTGACAAAGACTCCCAAGCCATGAATCCCCAAATACTTACTGCCAGCACTAAAGACACCTGAAAGAGATGTAATAGGGTCCAGAATCCCCCAGTGAAATTCAACTTGTTTATTACCATAGGGCTTTGGCCTACAAAACCTGCCCTTGTCACTTAAGCTGAATATGTGAGAATTAAAGACATTCTTGCCTCTAGCCTAAGATTTAGCCCATGTTTTTCTGCTGTGACTCTTGGGATCTCATGGGATAAATGGGTAGAAAATGCACCCTAAAGCAAGAGACTGATTTTTAATCAGCAATTTATTATCACTACTCCCTAACACATACACACACACACACATATATACACACACTTCCACCCTTAGTAGAAAGGCATGATTTTTTTCTTTGACTTTGACCCACATCTTTAGTCCTTTTCAAGAGGCTGAGATTTGATCTTGATTATAACTCTAGTTTTTATTTTTCCGAAAATTTCAAGTCTCTATTAGAGGTAGTTGCCAAGGCAGTAGTAAGCGCAAAGACGTATAGTCTTCCATGGAATGTCCTTTCCTACCCTATAGGGACTCTCATAGGCAGAGGAGCAGAGGACATGAGAGTGGAAAGACACAGAAACTTTTAAAATCACAGATGACTTGGTCAGAGCTAAGCACCAGAAAGATAACAGTGAAAAACATATGAAAAATACACTGAAGCAACAGGCTTGAGGCAGGGAAACCAGAGCAGAAGATGCTTGCAAGATCCTTGGAAAGAGATTCTGAGGTCCTAAGTGAGAGTCCTGGTAATGAGGAAAGAGAAGGGAGGTGGGATGGTGGTGGCAGCATTAATAATAGAGGTATATGTAGTGGAAGCAATTATCAGTTGTACTCGGGTTTCAATGAACTTACAAAAGACATGGTGTCAAGTGGTTTACATTCATTAAATCATTGAAAACCTGGATAACCAGTCTACGAGGTATCCTTTCCACTCTAGATTTTAAAAACTAAGGCCTAGAGAAGATAGCAACTTTCACATGGTCACACACTTCTTCAGTTGGAGAACCGGGTCTTGAATTTCAGTCTGATGGTCCCCAGAGACTCTACTCTTTTGCTTAGGAGGTAGGATGAATATGACTTATTGAGCTTCTAGAAGAGTGTAGAACATGAAAGAGGAAAGAAGAGCCAAAGCTAAGCATAGAGCTTTGTGCCTGGATGACTGACAGCTTGGCGATCCCATTAGTAGAAGTGGGGCACAGAATAGGGAGGAACAGATTTCCTGGTGGGACAAGTTCAATGCTAGGTGTGGTAAGTTTGAGACACACGTGGTACATCTACAGGGAGGTGTGCAATTGGCTGTTGCAGATGAGGGCTGAACCCACCAGGTCATTTTCTCAAATGCCTTGAGGACCAAATGTGGATTACAAAAATGGGCATAGGGAGACAACCTTCAAAGGCAGATACAACAGTTAAATCTCGATGCTTAAAGCTGTTTGAAACAGACCCCAGATAATGCAGTCCAGCTTCCTCTACTCTTGCTTTTAAGTGAAGAGACAATATAAGTTTTGTATTATTAAAGCATATTTCCTCCTCAGCCCTGGGCCTACAATCAGTTCCTTCATTTGTAAAATAATGATTTAGCAATAATTTACATTTCCTCAAGAAAGCATGTAAATTTGATATTGGGGTATAAGCCCAACTATTCTGATTTTTTTAACAATATATCACATAGAACATCTGGCTAGTTCCCCAGATTTTGTTCATGGCGGTATTTGAAAGTTTTTCTCCATTTCTGTTTAAAGCAACATTAGTCACCTTCCCTTTCATATCTACCTCTTTCTTTTTCTTCCTTTCTTTCTTTTTCTTTTCTTTACTTTTGTTTTCTTTTTATTTTTCTTTTCTTCTTTCTTTGTGTTTAAGATACAATTCAATTCAGTGTGTTTGTCAGTGGGTTTGCTATCATTTGGTAGGCAGAGTTTCTGGCTGGCACACTATGATAATCCTCCAGGGCACTATTTCTATTATACTCTTGCAGAAGGGATATACTAATGTGAATACCTTTATGTAATATAAAGACCAGAAAAGGGAGAATCAATACATATTTTGAAGTAAATAGTTCTAAGAGATTCATTGTTACATGTAAACTAACCACAGAGATTCAGAGCACTCCTCAAAAAAAAACTTTGAATATACTACCATTTGCCACATAAGGAGGTTTTGGGCAATGACAGACCATGCACATGAAAGGAATCCCATAAGAGTATAATGAAGCTGGAAATTTCCGATTGCCTAGTGACATTGTAGCTGTCATAATGTTGGAGCATGTAACACATTACTTACGTGTTTGTGGTGATGCTAGTGTAAACAAACCTACTGTGTCTTCAGTCATATAAAAGTACAGCATATACGGTTATGTGCAGTACATAATACTGGATAATGATAATAAATAACTGTGTTTCTGGTTTATGTATTTGCTATACTATTCTATTTATGTTTATTTTATAATGTATTCCTTCTACTTATAATTAAAAAGTTAGCTGCAAACAAGCCTCAGGCAGGTCCTTCAGGAGGTATTCCAGAAGAATACATTGCTGTCTTAGGAGATGACGGCTCTGTGTGTGTTATTGTCCCTGAAGACCTTGCAGTGGGGCAAGATTTGAGGGAAGAAGTTAGTGATATTGATGATCCTGACCCTATGTAGGCATAGGCTAATGTGTGTGTGTGTGTGTGTGTGTGTGTGTTTGTGTCTTTGTTTTTAATGAAAAAATTTAAAAAGTAAAAATAAATAAACAATTGAAAAATAGAAAAAAAAGCCTTGTAGAATAAGAATATAAATAAAGAAAATATTTTTGTAAAGCTGTATAATGTGTTTGTGTTTTAAGCTAAGTGTTACTACAAAAGAGATAAAAAGTTTAAAAAAGTAAAGTTTTTAAAGTAAAAATGTTACAGTAAGCTAAGATTAATTTATTACTGAAGAAAGTAACGTATTTATAAATGTTGTGCAGCCTAAGTGTACAGTATTCATAAAGTCTACAGAAATATACAGTAATGTCCTACACCTTCACATCCACTCACCACTCACTCACTGACTCACCCAGGGTAATTTCCAGTCCTGCAAACTTCATTCATATTAAATGCCCTATACATGCGTAACTTTTTTACCCTTTATATTTTGTGTTTTTCCTATGTTTACATATGTCTAGATAAACAAACACTTATCACTGTGTTACAATTGCCTACAGTATTCAGTATAGTAACATACTCTACAGGTTTATTGCCCAGGAGCAATAGGCTATCCTTTATAGCCTAGGTATGTAGTAGGCTTTACTATCTAGGTTTGTGTAAGTACACTCTGTGATGTTGGCACAATGATGAAATTGCCCAATGATGCATTTCTCAGAACATATGTCCATTGTTAAGTGACACATGACTATAGATATAAGAATAAAAATAAGTGGATAAGGAGTAGATGGAAGTTTCCAGTTTTAAAAGACTTATAGATTCAGATTCATGTGAATTTAATTTCAGTCTAATTCAACAAATATTTTTGAGCATCTATTATTTACAAGATACTCTTCTTAGCACCATGTAGACTATAAGAAAGAAAAAGCCATATTATCTCTGTCCTAAAGAAGCTTTTATTCTAATAAACAATAGACTGTGATTGGTAAACACATGCCACATGTTCCGTATATTCTAATCATTTTTCCATGGCGGACATTCCTTCTCACTTATGACATTCTTTTCCACTGAGCTGGACAAAATCTCACACTCCATTTTATTACTGTGATCCAGGCATTACCACCAATCAATCTAATTTGACAAACAAAATAAAACCTATTTGTCCCCCAGGGCCAGATAGATGCATACAAATTAACATTTCAGGCAGATTTTATTAAATGCTATATAGAGAATCAATATCATCTTTTAGGAAGAGAGAAGATGGGAGAGATTAATTTGAAATGGGAACTTTTCAAAAAGATTCCATGGTGAATGTGGCATTGCACTGGACATTGAAGGATGAGTACATCGTTCAATCATTCATTTAACAACATCTCACAGATCACCTGGTACACCAAGCACTATGCTGAGTACCGAGCTAAATGCTGCATTCGATTCAAGTCCCAGTTCTACTTCTGAGTTTCACTAGAATAATTTAGAAAATCCCTGAAACTCTATGACCCTAAGTTTCCCTATCTGTTTGGTAGAGACAAGATGAGATGATTATTAGGAGACCTTGTGGCTCCTTAAATTCTGTAATACTGTGAAAATTATTCTGGCCAGAAGCATGAGAAGATCAATAGCCACCACTCTTTTCTAGTATTCCCTAATCCAAATTATAGTCTATCGAACTATCTAAAGTCTCTTCTTGCAGTACAGGAGTAAGAAAAAAACTAATGTGGTCAAGATGGAGCACAGACTCTAACCCCTTTCACTAAGGGTACAGAGCTGAGGATGGAGAGTCTTTCTGCACATCAGTGTTTGGGTAACTAGTCATGGTAGGCCAGCTGCTGATGGAAGCGACTTCAACTCTGTGTCTCAGCAGCAGGAAGGTGGGGCTCTACCACACAGACATTAGGGACCCAGGATTCTTCTAATTTGTGTCTTGGTCATCCTTAGGGCCTCAGAGTCCCTCTAACAGGGAAGTTGCCATGTGAAAGCCATACCTATTGTTAACTGCCTCACTCCAGGTGTGACATAGATCTCTGCCACTGTCATTTCATTGGTGAGGATTTGTCTCAAGACAACACTGAGAGGCAAGAGTGGTGCACATATAATATAGCTAAATGCCAGAATAAAAATAAATAAGATTTGGTGAATATATAGCATTTTCTCTGACACTCTAACTGATTCATAGTGGATCACAATTTTTATCTCATTATTCAAAATATTTATTCTTCTTTGTCAGTATAGAGTGGAAAGACATGCTCTCAACATTGTAGGGGATGGTATTTCTTTATTGGCACTAGAATCTTTCCTGAAAGAGCTATGGTTAAGTGAAGTGTTTCCAACATGCTTATTTTTGTAATGAATAATCCAAGTTTAGGACAGGTAAACTAATGGCTTCCCAAAGATGTCCACATTCTAATCTCCAGAACCTTTGAATTTGATACTTTACATGGAAAAAGGGACTTTGCAGATGGGATTAAATTAAGGATCTTGAGATGCAAAGATTAGCCCGGAATTATTCAGGTGGGCCCAATATAAGGGCAAGGTGAGGTGCCTTATAGGTGAAAGAGGGTGGCAGGAGAGTTAGAGTCAGAGAAGGAGACATGATGACAGAGCAGAGATCAGAGTGATGTGATATGAGAAAGACTCCACTGGACATTAATTACTTTGAAGATGAACAAATTTTAAAAAGGCAAGGAAATAGGCCAGCCCAGTTATGCTGATACATGATTTTAGCCCAGGAAAACCCAGAGGTCACCCAGTGACCTTGACAACAGTAAGATAATATATTTGTGTTGTGTTAAGCCAAGTCTGTGGTCATTTGTTACAGCAATAATATGAAAATAATACAGAGGGAAAGGACCAAAATCAGTAATAGCTAATATTTATTGAGTGTACACTGTGTTCCAAGCATTGTTCCAAGCCTTACAATTGTTAACACATTTAATCCTTTAATACTATTTTTAGTCCCATGAGGCAATGAGAAAATGGGTACAGAGAGGCTAAGAAACTTTCCCAAAGTCACACAACTAGTAAGTAAAAGAGCTACAATATTTATCCACCACTAGGATCATATCATTAAAGAAAAGTTTGATATGATAGATTAACTAAAACACATACACATCAGACACACACACAGGCACTGCAATATTTTGCAACTCCTTCCTTCAAAAACCCATGAGCTGAGATTGCTAATATTATTTTCAGCAAATCTATAAAACTGAAAGCTAATCTACACTGTTTGGAATCTATTTTTCCAACCAACCCTTATATCTGGGCTTGTTCATGTGATTTGTTTTGTCCAATAGAACAGCAGCAACATAATAAAAGCAGAAGCTTTAAAAAGAGCTTGCACACTGGAGTTTGCCCTCTCTTGTTTTTGGAACCCAGTCACCACGGAGAGAAAAAGCCAGAGCTGCCTATCAGATGTTAGAAATACGTGGTTCAGTTGCCCCATCACCTGATCCAAACTCCAAATAGGTGACTGAAGCCATCTTAGACCAACAAGCCTCAATCAGCCCTCTGACTATACCACATGAGTGAGTCTAGATAGGACATGCAGAAGAACCATCCAGCTGAGCCCAGACCAAATGGCCAGCAGAATAAAATCATGACAACAAATAATGTAGCAAAAACTAATTCAAAAACATGGGCCATTGAGAAGTTATAACACTTTGGAAATATATTCAACATCTCAGGCCTTTTTAGCTAACTCTTGCTGACTCCTAACGAATTAGTATTGGGGTTGGTGATTGAATTAATTCGCTACCTTCCAAATCTCTTTATAGGTTTTCTGAAAATAAAAGTAGCAATCTCAACCACTGTGCTCTTAAATAAAAGGAAAGGTACTACTTTTAACCAAAATCATAACTGGCATAATAGGAATATCTGTAAAAAAATTTAAAATACCTATTTAGCATTAACAACATGCAGTTTTATTAAAATGCTTAGCACTTTTGTCTATGAAGATCTTAATGTCTTTTTGCCATAGTCCTCCAGTTTTGAGTTTAATATCTTTAACAAACAGAAACTCTATTTTATTTTTTGAAGAAAAAAAAGTTCAGACATAACTTAGGACATTATAAAGCAGTTTTTTAAAAAAACACAGAAAAGTTTTCTAGGAGTAAGTACTATGGAAGAATTACAGGACCCCAACAGAAAAGGCCCATAATTGTTGCTGCCACATCAATGCAATTTACTATAGTGCATTTTTGACCCAAAGCCAGTCCATCACCATACCCCAGATTTTTAAATGTTTAAGATGAAAACTTACGATTCCAGAAACCACACCATTGCAGTTCTTTAACAGACTCTATTCCATTATTCAAAGTAGTTTATATGATCCTAGAGTCACCAGAAAATCTTATAACTTGCCTCTGGTTCCACTAGGGAAATTATGCTTCCCTATTTTTCCACAACCTTCTAAAGCAACTGTACAAAAATCAAATTGTTTTTCTAGAAGTCACCAATAACGTTTCACATTTTAAGCAACACAAAAAAAGAAGCCTGGGTTCCAGCTCACACAGTGATTTATGACTAACCCCTTCTGAGCAATTCCTATTTATACATTCATTTGTCGTGTCCTCGGGTGCTATATTTTTGGCAGCATCACTGGACACAATATAGAGGGTCCCAATTTTCCCCCTGAATCTTAAGAAAACACTTGGCAGAAGTGAAATGATACTGCCTTTTAATTTTCTTGTAGAAATCTGCGGTTTGTGTAACATGACTCAGTCTAGTTCTGATTAATGGGGATGCATTTTGTTCCCTGCAATAGCCAAGTCCACAGGTATTAAAAGCTCTCACAATCCAAATATTGGAATTAAATGCAAAGCCCTGAGCTCAGAATTTACTGCTCTAAGGAAGAGATTACAAAGGAATTTGAAATAAATCCAGTGGTAAATTTAAGGAAGTTCCTGAGCTATTGTTTCCTCCTGCAATGGATGCCTGCGACCCTGGCTTGATAAACTGCTTGGATAAGAACTGGCCCCAAAGTAACCTTTGTACTAGCAGTGATGTAAGGAATGACTCCCTGTAACTAAGGGAGTATCACATATGAATTTGGGGGCCGATATACAAGATAGGATTATCCTGTTAAGACTGTCAATAGTGAGGTCATGCCTGATGTCAGTCACCCTCAGACAGGAAGGCTGAACACAGAAACCATTCCTCTCAAAGCATCACTCTGACCACATTAGTATGGCTGCTCAAATTGTGATAGCTATTTGATGCCTATGAAAATAAGTTAAAAGACCTTAGCTGGACGTTAAAGTATCCTCCAACATTTAAATTCTCAAACCCCATTTTCAGGCATTACGTTTCCTTTTTGTGATCTGACTTCTTATCCTTTCCTTCCCCCTGCCATTGTTCATCATGTTTTCCCTTACTGGAAATAGCATCTTTTAGGTTTCAAGGCTCTCCAGTGCTACTTCCTCATTGTTATGATCCTCTTGCCCTCAGCTAGAAGTGACGTCTTTATCCTTTTAAATGCTAGCATTTTCTGCACTTTTTAAAAATAAGTTTTATTGTGTATATTTAAGTTACACAACATAAGATACATACATATAGTAAAATGGCTACTATAGTGAACCAAATTAACATATTCTTTATCTCACATAGTTACCCATTCCCCCCGCCATTGTCCCATGGCAAGAGCACCTATAAGCTACTCATTTAGCAAAAATACTAAATATAATACACTATTATTAACTATAGTCCCTCATGCTTTACACTAGATCTTTTGATTTGTTCATCTTACATAGTTGATACATTGTATCCTTTGACCTACATCTTCCCTTTTCTCCCCTGCCATCCCAACCATGGTAATCATTGTTTTATTCACTATCTCTATATATAAGACATATTTTTATTTCACGTATAAGTGAGATCATGCAATATTTGTTCCTTTTTCTATGTCTGGCTAATTTTACTTAGCATGTCTTTCAGATCCTTCTGTGTTGCATCAAGTGGAAGGATCTCCTTTTTTAAGGCTGAATAATATTCCATTGTATATCTATACCACAGTTTCTGCATCCTTTCACCCATCAATGGACATCTAGATTCTTTCCACATCTTAGCTATTGTGAATAATTCTGGAATGAACATGGGAGTGAAGATACCTTTATGAGGTGGCAGTTTCACTTATTTTGGGTACGTACCTTAAAGACATATTACAGGGTCACATCGTAGTTCAATTTTGTATTTCTTTAGGAACTTCCATATTGTTTGTCTTTGTGGCTGCACTAGTCTGCATTTCCATCAACAGTGTACAAGGGTTGCCTTTCTCCACACCCTTGTCAACATTTGCTGTCTCTTGTCCTTTTGATAATAGCTACCCTAACAGGTGTGAGGTGGTATATCAGAGCAGTTTTGATTTGTGTTTCCCTGAAGACTAATGATGTTGAGCACATTTTCATGTACTTATCGATTATTTCTATGTCATATTTGGAGAAATGCCTATTAAAGTCACTTGGCCATTTTTTAATTGGCGGCTTTTGTTATTAAATTATGAGTTCTTTATAAATCTTGGATATTAACCTGTTATCTGATACATAGTTTGCAAATTTTTTTTACAATCTACAGGTTGCCTTTTTATTTTGTGGCTTGCTTTCCTTGATGGGCAGATGATTTTTTATTTGATATGGTCTCATTTACTTATTTTTGCTATTGCAGCCTGAGCTTTTGGTGCAATAGCCAAGAAATCATTGCCAAGGCCAATGTCAAGGACCTTTTTCCCTGTTTTTTCCCCTCTATTTTTTATTTTTATTGAGTCAAGATTTTACTCTTTTACCCAAGCTGCAGTGTAGTGGTGTGATCACAACTCACTGTAGCCTCCACCTCCAAGTATCAAGAAATCCTCCTGTCTCAGCCCCCAAAAGTGCTGGTATTATAGGCATGAGTCACTGTGCCTAGCTTCTTCTAGTAGTTTTATAACTTCAGTACTTATATGTATTTCTTTCATCCATTTTGAATTAATATTTGTGTGTGGTATAAGGGTCAAATTTCATTTATTTTGCATAGGGAAACCCAGTTATTCCAGCATCACTTATACAGCTATGTGGAATCCAGAAAACTCTCTCAGCTGGGTCTAGTGCCTGTGAGGACTATAGGAGCCCCTAGTGGTGAGAACTGTAGGTATCTAAAGTAGTGATGGAGGCTGCTGAGTGCTATCGTCTACCTTTTCCTCACAGACAGAAGTCCCTCCTGGTTCCAAGGTGATCCTATCTGGGGAATGGGTTAGGGAAGGTGAGTTGTTTCCTTCCATCCTCTAGGTAGTCATCCTGGGTTTCTGTTCTCTACAGGATTTATGCTACTCCTTTGATGTACTCCAGTGCTCTCCTTTAGCTATTTTCCTTAAAAACGTTTGTTTATTTATTTCTTTGGCTGTCTGTGTGAGAGGGACAAGCACTAGGAGCTTCTTTCTAGTTGGCCATCTTGCTAATGTTCTCAAATGTTCTACACTGTGATAGGACTTCTGTATTACATTGCTTATATTGCCATAACAAAATACCATAGACTGCATGGCTTAAACAAGAGAAATTAATTTTCTTATAGTTTTGGAGGCTAGAAGTTCAGAATCAAGGTTCCAACTGATTCAGTATCAGGTGGAGTCTCTCTTCCAGGCTTGTTGATGGCCATCTTCTTGCTACGTCCTCACATGGCCTTTCCTTGGTGGGAGCAAGCAGGTGGAAGGAGCTCTTTCATGTTTCTTTTTATAAGATCTTTAATCCTACAGGATCAGGGCTCTATCATGTGGCTTCATTTGACCTTAAATACTCCCTTAGAGGCCCTATCTCCAACCAAATATAGCTACTCTGGGGGCTAGAGCATCAACATGAATTTTGAGGAGACACATTTTGTCCATAATAAATTCTTTTTTTTTTTTTTTCTTTTTGAGACAGAATCTCACTCTGTCACCCAGGCTGGAGAGCAGTGGTACAATCTCAGCTCACTGCAACTTCTGCCTCCCAGGTACAAGTGATTCTCATGCCTCAGCCACCCGAGTAGCTGAGATTACAGGCCTGCCCCACCATACCTGGCTAATTTTTGTAATTTTTAGTATAGAGAGATTTTGCCATGTTGGCCAGGCAGATCTCAAACTCCTGACTTCGGCCTCCCAAACTGCTGGGATTATAAGTGTGAGTCACTATGCCTGGCCTCCTATTAATGATTTATTTAATTCATTCAACAATATTTATTAACAACACTGTGCCACTCTACTAGGCACTGGAAATAGAAAGAAGACTAAAGAATAGTGTTTGATCTTAATGATTCAAAAACTGGTAGAGGAGACAGGAATATAAAATAATACATTATTACAGCAAAAGGTAATTAGCATGATCAGTCACTATAGGGATGTAATCTTACCTCCCCATTTGAGACTTAAGCTCTTTGGGCTAAGTGTAAAACATGTCACCTGAGAGAAGATGAGTAGAGATTTCAGTCCCTGACTCTTGATGAGATGTTTACCTCTACGGAAACTCAAATGTTGTCTCCAAGGAATATATACCTATATAAAGGACATTCCAGAAAAATGCTCCCTTTTTCTTACTAGCCCTGTCCTCGGCTAGAGTCCCTATGTGGTTCTGTACCAGGCAATGCTGAGTTAAATAACTGAGGCCCTTTTATATCATTTTATATCACACCTCACCCCACCCCATCCCATATCTAATGTGGAACTTATCTAAACTACTCATTCCAGGCATTCTTCTGACTGGGAAACTCCTTATTACATTTGGCCTTCCAAAGGCAAGGCAGTTCCCAAGATGCCACTTGCAGACCTAATCTTAGCGTGACCTTAGTCTGAGGGAGTACAGGGTGAGTCACAAAGTAGATCCAAGTTTAACCATGCATCTTCCTGAAAGTACACTACTCTCTATGGTGGCTCCATTGTGCATACTTTAAAAAATCTGGCTGGGCACGGTGGCTCATGCCTGTAATCCCAGCACTCTGGGAGGCCGAGGCAGGTGGATCATCTGAGGTCAGAAGTTCGAGACCAGCCTGGCCAATATGGTGAAACCCAGTTTCTGCTAAAAATACAAAAATTAGCTGGGTGTGGTGGTGTGCACCTGTAGTTCCAGCTGCTCGGGAGGCTGAGGCAGGAGAATCACTTGAACCTGGGAGGTGGAGGTTGCAGTGAGCCAAGATAGAGCCATTGCACTCCAGCCTGGGTGACAAAAGAGAAACTCCGTCTCCAAAGAAAAAAAAAATCTGTTTTGTCCTTGAACTGGAACAGAGTTCTCCTTTCCTGAGCAGTAGGGGGTAAAAGAGAGCTACAGACATTGAGATCTCCCTAGAGACAGAGTGAGTGACTCACATCAAGGCCTATCACTGATTTATCTCCACATGTATCACAATACTTAGCCCAGCACCTGGTCCACAGTAGGTGCTCAGACAGTGCTTATTAACTGACTAAGAGAAGCAATTACTGTCGTATTCCCTGCCAATGACCTTATTTACTTTTCTTAGATATGGGCATAAACAAACCATGTAATTTAATGTCTGTAATTGCACTTGACAATCACTGAACTAATCTCTCACACATTCTTACTCCATCTGAGTATCATATACATAACTGGATTAAAACATCATCTGTAATGCACAGTAACTGTAGGGCTCCCGGAAGACTTCTTCAGACAAGATACCTGCTGCTTTACTGCCCACATTCAGCAATAGCCCAGATTGCCGAAACTAGCTATGCAGACTTCTCATCAACAAGCTTGTTGTAGCAACTACTCCTTCAGCACATAAGCATCTCGGAATGGAGTGTTGATCATATTGCATAACACTTGCCAGAGAAGGATCAGTGCATCAGAAAAGTGAAAAGGACAGACTGTCCTGATCTCTATCTTAACCTCCGAGCTAATTGGCAAGCAGATTTCCACTAAATTTATCCATCTCTCAACAATTTATGGAGGTAGTTTTGTATGCTAAGGCCTGGATTAAGATCTTTCTCCAACATCTTGTTGTTAAAAATTACAAACATAAAGGAAAGTTGGAAATATTTAACTGCAAACACTCACATTTCTGCCACTTAAATTCTATAATTAACATTTTCTTTACTCACTTTATTGCATACTATTTGTTGCTCAAAACCAAGATGCTCATCAATTCATTTTAATCTATGTTAAACTTTTGAAATCTCTACTTTCATGCCACAACACTTATTTTAATCTTCATAAATTCATTAAATCAGTCATCTGTTCAGACACATTATCGAGTATCTTCTACTATGTGTGAAGAAATTTGTTAGTTGTTGGTTATTCAAAGATTAATTAAAACAATCTCTATCATGAAGGAGTCCCCAGTTGGATGGAGGATATTATGGGACACAATAATGACCCCCAAAGTGTCCATGTTCGAGTCTCTAAAAGCCATGAATATGTTAAGTTATATGGCAAAAGGGAATAAAGGTTGCACATGGAATTAAGAGTTTCCTGGATTATGCAGATGGACCCAATGTAATCACAAAAGTTCTTAATGGAAAAAGGGGAGTCAGAGATGAGAAAAAGATCTGACTATAGAAAAAAAGCACAGAGAAATGCAATAATGTTGGCTTTGGAGATAACAGAATGGGGCCATCAACCAAGGAATATGGGCTGGAGGACTGGAAAAGGCAAGGAAATGAGTTCTCCCCTGGAGCCTCTAGAATACAATAGAGTGCAGCCCTGCTGACGTCTTAATTTTAGCCCAGTGAAACCCATTTCAGACTTCTGAACTACAGAACTATGAGATAATAAATGTGGGTTGGTTTAAGCCACTGTTTTTGGTAATTTGTGATGGCAGCCATAGGAAACTAACACAGAGCTAGACATTCATGCATGATTATGATGCCATGTGATATGTCCTATAATGTAAGTAGGCACACAGTTATGTTAGAAAACACAGCACGGTCAAGAAATAATTCATATTGTTCTTGATAGAGAAAGAAGGAGGTATCTATCAGGCAAACAATAGAAAAGGTCATTCTGAACAAAAGGAACATTTTTGTAATGTCCCAGAGACTTAAAAAAAGAATGTTTTTGAAATGGTAAACTCTATGACGAGTTATGCCAGTCATTCTTAATCCTATTAAAGCTTCTCTTTTTATAACAAACATTTCGTAGTGTCTCATTTATTACTCTGAAATAAAAGATATAGATAACCTATCCCACATAGGTGTTTGTGTGTATGTCATAACCATAATACAAGGGATGAAAAAAAGTAAATTATAATAAAATATTATGTATTTCAATATACAATTGCTTCTCAGTCATGACTACCTTTGAATATACAATAAACATTTGCCTACATCTATACATATTTTCACTTTGAATGCAGTAGGTATAAATGCAAACTCAAATGGGTGTGTTATATTGACAAATTCCATGAGCAGTGTTACCATCAGTGACAGCGTTTTCCAGAATTGGTGAGGAATCTTAATAAAGTTCTGTAAAACTGAATTACACTTTTAGTTAAATGTGAAAGGTCGTTACATTTCCTATAAAAATCAGTTTATAGTAAAAATCACATTAAAAAAAACTAAACAGATGTTTAGGTAGAAGAACTTGGAGGAAAGGTTATTTGATCATGAAGCTAAAAGGTGGATGAGGAGAAGCCTCCCCTTTCCAGCTCCAGCTATGGCTGAGGAAGTGGTAGTGCTTGGAGCTGCTGTGGAATCATGAAGAGATAGCTATGGAAAAAGCCAGCATGAGTCTTTGATGATGTCATTGAACTATTGATTTAATAAACCCTGGAAACTTCCTATGTTCAAAATTATCGCATACTTTTTTTATTGTTTAAGCCAATTCTATTTTCTTCCTACTAACTATAGCCAAAAACAATGCAATGGATAAAATAAATGGCATAACTTTGTCCAGCAGTGTGTCACAGGCAGACCAGGCTGTAGCAAACGCTGTTGTAAACCAAAACTAAAATCCTAAACTCCCCCAAGTAACCGAAAGTATCCCCTCTGGGCCAAGAGGATAGCAGAGAAACCTGAAAAACTGAATTCCCTGCCAGGAAGGAAAAGAAGGTCTGGCACACCTCATCACACCTGCTTCATTTTGGAGGTTAGGCACAATTAACCAACACTAACATTAAAATATAGATCAGAAGACTGACAAAACAGGCTGTTTGTGGTAGTAAGACCAAATTCCACCCTGACTCTGGTGTAACATCACATGACAGATAGCAGACCCTAAAGGAAATAAACTATAATCTATTTGACATATTTTGAAATGGCCCTGCAAAACCGTCTTTGGTGGAAGAAATTTGCCTTTGTAGAAAATCTTCATTACTGAAGCCAGACTTTTCTTAGATCTAGGAGAGACTAACTAAAAGTCTGACACCTTTTAAGGTTCAAAAAGATATTTACCATCTATTTTCTCTGAGGGCTGCTATCTGGAGGCTTCATCAACATAACAAGGACCTTGGTTTATACAGCCCCCTTTCTCATAATTCAAACATTTATTTGTACTGACTTCAAGTCTTTAGGCAAAGCTTAACTCTTTCAACCAATTGCCAATCCAAAATCTTTGGATCTACCTATGACCTGTAAGGCCCCATTTGGAGATATTTTGTCTTTCCAGGCTGAATCAATTTATACCTTAAATGTATTGATTTACATCTTTGCCTGTAACTTCTGTCCCCTGAAAATGTATAAAACCAAACTGTAACCCAAATGTCTGGGGCACACTTTCTCAGAACCTCTTGAAATTGTTCTCTGGGCCTTAGTTACTCATAATTGGCTTGGACTAAACTCCTTTAAATATTTTACAGTGTATGGTTTTTTGGTCAACGCTGTTAATGGCCTATCCTTTCCCTTCTCAGAGTCACTAGGAGGATACAAGATAAACTATGCAAAAAAAAGAAGAAAAAAAACTGGGCACATGTTTACTCCTCCACAATTGATAGCTATTACTCATGCTGTTTTGAAGATATTATGCATTAGGCACCTGAGTTGTATATCAGATTCCTAGTGCTGCTATAACTATCACAAACTCAGTGACTTAAAACAATACAAATTTATTATCTAATAGTTCTAGAAGTCTGAAATGGGTTTCTCTGGGATAAAATGAAGGCATGGACAGGGCTGATTCCCTTCTGTAGGTCCCACAGGAGATTTCATCTCCTTGTCCTTTCTGGCTTCAAAATGTTGCCCACATTCTTTCCTCTACATTCAAAGCCAGCAATTTCATCACTCCGACCTCTGCTCCAGTGATGACATCTCCTCTCTGACTTTGACTTCCCTGCCTCCTTCTTATGGGGAGACTTCTGATTACATTTCACCCACCAGAATAATCCAAGTTAATCTCCCCATCTCAGTCCTTCACGTAACCACATCTGGAAAGATCCTAATACCATGTAAGGAAATACATTCACAGGTTCCTGCCTACCACAAGTTGCAAGAGAGTACCACTTGGATTCAATGTTACCATATAGTTAGGAAAGCATTTTGAGAATAAAAAAAAAACAAAAGAATTAGTTGTCCTTCCTTGGTCAGTTCAAGGTTTGTACTAATTCCCCTCTTTATGTATTATCCAGAGATCATTCAGTTTCATAAATTACAGAAACCCAATACAAACTGACTTAAAAAAAAAAAACAACTAGAGTTGAATGGGTTGGTTCATAGAAGTGCTGGCTTCAAGCACAGTTGGGTACATGTACTCAAACAACATCAGGATTATGGCCATTTGCAACCCTTGAGTCTGTTCTCCTCCTAGTTTTCTTCATTCTTGGGCAGACGGGCAAGAAGATGGCCATTAGCAGTCCCAGAAACATATTCTAGAGACCCTATGGAAAAGATACCCATATTCTCCCCAAATTTTAGCAAAATTCCCAAGACTGACCAGTCTAAACCAGGTTATGTACTCATACTCCAAGCTAGCCTATGGGATCAGTGCTAATTAAGTCATATGGACTGAGAATAGAGAGGAGTGTTCCTTCTAAATAAATCGGCACTGTGATTAAAAAAAGGAGAATGAATGATGGTCAGACAAAAACCACAGATGCACTACCCAACTCCCTCTGAAGAAAAATTAGCTCTCTGGAGCCCCACTTGGGCAGGAACACTTGGATGCTTGTGACTTCAGTTTCAGGTCCATGGTGGGCAAAGACTCCTGGAAGTGATGGAGTGCTACACAGCCAAACTGCAACTGTATTTAGAGAAAGAACAGAGATAGTTTTCATTCTGAGGCATGAGGACAAACCTGCTCTTCTGCAACTATGCTTATTCTCCTTTTAATTTTTGTAGGAGGAAGAGTAATTGCAATGCTTAACTGAGGGTCCAAGTAACCACTGGAGGTTCTGGAAGCCCTGGCTCATAGACAGATGTCCAAAAACTGAAAAACAGAAGTGAAGGGTTGCAGACACAGGGATCCTTTCCTAGCATGCCTCCATGGATTTCAATAGACATAGAGGTTAAGCACAAAGGCTATGGAGGCAGATGGCTTGGGTGGAAACCCAGCTTCATCATTTCCTCATTCTGTCTCCTAAAGCTTATTTTCCTCAACTGCAAAACAGAAAACATAGTAATATCCATGTTGTGTGGGTATTTTGAAAATTAAATATTAGCTGTGGTATTAGGACTGTATTAGTCCGTTTTCATGCTGCTGATAAAGGCATACCCAAGACTGGGAAATTTACAAAAGAAAGAGGTTTATTGGACTTACAATTCTGCATGGCTGGGGAGGCCTGACAATCAGGATGGAAGGCAAGGAGGAGCAAGTCACGTCTTACGTGGATGGCAGCAGGCAAAGAGAGAGCTTGTGGAGACAAACTCCCATAGTTAAAAACATCAGATCTTGTGAGACCCATTCATTATCATGAGAACAGCACAGGAAAGACCTGCCCCCAAAATTCAATCACCTCCCACTGGGTCCCTCCTATGACATGTGGAAATTGTGGGAGTTACAATTCAAAATAAGATTTGGTTTGGGACACAGCCAAACCACATTATTCCACCCCTGGTCCTTCCCAAATCTCATGTCCTCACATTTCAAAACCAATCATGCCTTCCCAACAGTCCCCCAAAGTCTTAACTCACTAACTCAAAAGTCCACAGTTTAAAGTATCATCTAAGACAAGGCAAGTCCCTTCCACCTATAAGCCTGTAAAATCAAAAGCTAGCTAGTTATTTCCTAGATACAACAGGGGTACAGGTATTGGGTAAATACGGAGATTCCAAATGGGAGAAATTGACCAAAACGAAGGGGGTACAGGCCCCGGGCAAGTCCAATATCCAGCAGGGCAGTAAAATCTTAAAGCTCCAAAATGATTTCCTTTGACTCCATGTCTCACATCCAGGTCACGCTGATGTGAGAGGTGGGTTCCCATGGCAGCTCTGCCCCTGTGGCTTTGCAGGGTATAGCCTCCCTCCTGGCTGCTTTCACGGGCTGGCATACAGTGTCTGTGGCTTTTCCAGGCATATAGTGCAAGCTGTTGGTGGATCTATCGTTCTGGGGTCTGGAAGACAGTGGCCCTCTTCTCACACCTCCACTAGGCAGTGATCCAATGGGGATTCTGTGTGGGGGCTCCCATTCCACATTTGCCTTCTGCACTGCCCTAGCAAAGGTTCTCCATGAGGGCCCCACCCTGGCAGCAAACTTCTGCCTGGGTATCCAGGCATTTCTGTACATCCTCTGAAATCTGGGCCGAGGCCCCAAACCTTAATTCTTGACTTCGGTGCACCCACAGGCTCAACATCATGTGGAAGCTGCCAAGGCTTGGGGCTTCTACTCTCTGAAACAACAGCCCAAGCTATACTGGTCCCTTTTAGCCATGGTTGGAGTGGCTGGAACACAGGGCACCAAGTCCCTAGACTGCACACAGCAGAGGGACTCTGGGTCTGGCCCACGAAACCATCTTTTCCTCCTAGGCTTCCAGGCCCGTGATGGGAGGGGCTGCCCTAAAGGTCTCTTACATGCCCTGGAGATATTTTCCCCATTGCCTTGAGAATTAACATTTGGCTCCTTATTACTTATGCAAATTTCTGCAGCCAGATTGAATTTCACCTCAGAAAACAGGATTTTCTTTTCTATCACATTGTCAGGCTGCAAATTTTCCAAACTTTTATGCTCTGTTTCCATTTTAAAACTGAATGCCTTTAACAGCACCCAAGTCACCTTCTGAATGCTTTGCTGCTTAGAAATTTCATCTGCCAGATACTCTAAATCATCTCTCTCAAGTTCAAAGTTCCACAGATCTCTAGGGCAGAGGCAAAATACCACCACTCTGTTTGCTAAAACATAACAAGAGTCACCTTTGCTCCAGTTCCCAACAAATTCCTCATTTCCATCTGAGATCACCTCACCCTGGACCTTATTGTCCATATTGCTATCAGCATTTTAGGCAAAACCATTCAACAAGTGTCCAGGAGGTTCCAAGCTTTCTGACATTTTCCTGTCTTCTGAGCCCTCCAGACTATTCCAACCTCTGCCTGTTACCCAGTTCCAAAGCTCCTTCCACATTTTTGCATATCTTTTCAGCAACGTCCCCACTCTACTGGTACCAATTTACTGTATTAGGCATTTTTCATGCTGCTGATAAAGACATACCCAAGACTGGGTAATTTACAAAATAAAGAGGTTTATTGCACTTACAGTTCCACATGGCTGGGGAGGCCTCACAATCACGATGGAAGGCAAGGAAGAGTGAGTCACATCTTATGTGGATAGCGGCAAGCAAAGAGAGAGCTTATGTAGACGAACTCTCATTTTTAAAACCATCAGATGTCTTGAGACCCATTCACTATCATGAGAACAGCACAGGAAACACCCACCCCCATAATTCAATCGCCTCCCACTGGGTCCCTCCCATGATGTGGGAAATGTGGGAGTTACAATTCAAGATGAGATTTGGGTGGGGACACGGCCAAACCATATCAAGGATAAATATGGGGAAAGCATTTTATAGATGGTCTAGTTCCTCCCACAAGCCTAGAGATGTAGAATAGCTTTGCCCAATGTCACACAGATAAAGATGAGCAGGAGGGACTAGAATTTACTCTTCTCAGCAGCTGCTCTGGTGCAGGATCAACTGGTGTGGGACTAACGGAATAAAACTAGCTATCATTACACACTAACTATTGGCACTCCATTGTATTTGGGCTTTATAAACATTATTTCATAAAGACTTCACAATAATTCTCAAAATAACCCCTGTTAAAACCTATGAGAAAACTGAAGCTTAGTGACTTTAAACTGCTTGCTCCAAATCATACAGCTTTTAAATAGTAAAACCAAATCTGTCTGTCTGTCTATCTTTAAGTCTCTGTATACTCTTGCTGACAATGCTCACTCATGCAAATATGGAGACTGCAGATCAGGATAGGGACAGCCAGCCAGCCACAGATGATGTCGAATAAGGATCCATAATTAGAACTCCCAGGAGACAGAAGTAAGAAAATAAATGGAAGAATGTTGTTTGGGCTCAGAAAACTTGTAGTTTGGGTGTGTAACCAAAATAAGGGTACTTATGTATTTTCTATGTTCTGGTTAAAGCTATGCAGTTTGGCTTGTCTTATTAATATATTATTTTACTTACGGTATTATTGTCTTGATTTTATTACATGTAGAATCTAGGAAACTGAGAAAGTTTAGCAATTTGCCCAGGATCAGCTAGCTGGTAAGCAGTGGAACTGGGACACAAACATAGGTCTACACATGCCAGGTCAATGCTCTTCCCACAAAGTCACACAAAGAAAGTCCCAAACAAATGCCCAGCCTGCAGCTGCACAGAGCCTACATACACATCTCTGCAGGACTCGCATTCCTGCCATTTTCCTTCTTTCTCGCCTGTTACAGGCCTGCTGTTACCAGCTTATTTAATTCCTGCAATTTGCACTGTTTCTCACAATCTGTTCTCATTTGCTAGAAGTGCTCACTCAATAGCTCCACTGTTTGCCAGGAAATCAGGCCTAAAAATGTGCAGAAGTTCTCCCACATTCTGCTAAACCCTAGTTCAGTGGGTCTGACTGAAGTAAAACCATTGGAACAACTTTTGCAGGAGTCTCTGTGCAAGGAGCAGATTCTTATTCCTGACTTTCACTCAGCTCTGCCATAACCACCAAAGCCAGGGGCTGGGTAGAAGGAAGCCCACTGGACTGGGTCTTTGAAAATGTTCTGCTACTTATTTGATAAGGAAACCACCAAAATTGTAAATGAAATAATAAAAGAGATCTGACCTAACCAACTCCATCTTGCTTCTAACCTCCAAGCTGTCCTTGTTCCTTCCTGGGTGTAGGCTGAACTAACTTTGGGAGGAAATTTGTAGTTTAAAACAAAGATGACAACAGTCCTTTCCCAAGGCAAATCCACTTCTTGGCTGGGAACTAGACTGCCTTTTTAGGACTAACAAATTAGCCACAAGATAATACAAGATTAGAAATTATGGTTTAGGAGTCATGCAACCGGAGGCTACAAGATACTGACCCTCCATAAACTGCTCTTAAGATCAGTTCTTGAGTTCTGTAGATGTCTGTTAGGTCTGCTTGGTGCAGAGCTGAGTTCAATTCCTGGATATCCTTGTTAACTTTCTGTCTCATTGATCTGTCTAATGTTGACAGTGGGGTGTTTAAGTCACCCATTATTGTTGTGTGGGACCTAATAGACATCTACAGAACTCTCCACCCCAAATCAACAGAATACACATTCTCCTCAGCACCACATCACACTTATTCCAAAATTGACCACATAGTTGGAAGTAAAGCACTCCTCAGCAAATGTAAAAGATCAGAAATTATAACAAACTGTCTCTCAGACCACAGTGCAATCAAACTAGAACTCAGGATTAGGAAACTCACTCAAAACCACTCAACTACATGCAAACTGAACAACCTGCTCCTGAATGACTACTGGGTACATAACAAAATGAAGGCAGAAATAAAGATGTTCTTTGAAACCAATGAGAACAAAGACACAACATACCAGAATCTCTGGGACACATTTAAAGCAGTGTGTAGAGGGAAATTTATAGCACTACATGCCCACAAGAGAAAGCAGGAAAGATCTAAAGTTGATACCCTAACATTACAATTAAAAGAACTACAGAAGCAAGAGCAAACACATTCAAAAGCTAGCAGAAGGCAGGAAATAACTAAGATCAGAGCAGAACTGAAGGAGATAGAGACAAAAAAAAAACCCCTCCAAAAAATCAATGAATCCAGGAGCTGGTTTTTTGAAAAGATCAACAAAATTGATAGACTGCTAGCCGGACTGATAAGGAAGAAAAGAGAGAAGAATCAAATAGATGCAATAAAAAATGATAAAGGGGATATCACCACCAATCCCACAGAAATACAAATTACCCTCAGAGAATACTATAAATACCTCTACGCAAATAAACTAGAAAATCTAGAAGAAATGGATAAATTCCTCGACACATACACCCTCCCAACACTAAACCAGGAAGAAGTTGAATCCCTGTATAGACCAATAACAGGATCTGAAATTGAGGCAATAATTAATAGCCTACCAACCAAAAAAAAAGTCCAGGACCATGTGGATTCACAGCCAAATTCTACCAGAGGTAGAAGAAGGAGCTGGTACCATTCCGTCTGAAACTATTCCAATCAATAGAAAAAGAGGGAAACCTCCTTAACTCATTTTATGAGGCCAGCATCATCCTGATACCAAAGCCTGGCAGAGACACAACAAAAAAAGAGAATTTTAGACCAATATCCCTGATGAACATTGATGCAAAAATCCTCGGTAAAATACTGGCAAACCGAATCCAGCAGCACATCAAAAAGCTTATCCACCATGATCCAGTGGGCTTCATCCCAGGGATGCAAGGCTGGTTCAACATACCCAAATCAATAAATGTAATCCAGCATATAAACAGAACCAAAGACAAAAATCCCATGATTATCTCCATAGACGCAGAAAAGGCCTTTGACAAAATTCAACAGCCCTTCATGCTAAAAACTCTCAATAAATTAGGTATTGATGGGACGTATCTCAAAATAATAAGAGCTATTTATGACAAACCCACTGCCAATATCATACTGAATGGGCAAAATCTGGAAGCATTCCCTTTGAAAACTGGCACAAAACAGGGATGCCCTCTCTCACCACTCCTATTCAACATAGTGTTGGAAGTTCTGGCCAGGGCAATTAGGCAGGAGAAGGAAATAAAGGGTATTCAATTAGGAAAAGAGGAAGTCAAATTGTCCCTGTTTGCAGATGACATCATTGTATATCTAGAAAACCCCATCATCTCAGCCCAAAACCTCCTTAAGCTGATAAGCAACTTCAGCAAAGTCTCAGGATACAAAATCAATATGCAAAAATCACAAGCATTCTTATACACCAATAACAGACAGAGAGCCAAATCATGAGTGTACTCCCGTTCACAATTGCTTCAAAGAGAATAAAATACCTAGGAATCCAACTTACAAGGGATGTGAAGGACCTCTTCAAGGAGAACTACAAACCACTGCTCAATGAAATAAAAGAGGACACAAACAAATGGAAGGACATTTCATGCTCATGAGTAGGAAGAATCAATATTGTGAAAATGGCAATACTGCCCAAGGTAATTTATAGATTCAATGCCATCCCCATCAAGCTACCAATGGCTTTCTTCATAGAATTGGAAAAAACTACTTTAAAGTTCATATGGAACCAAAAAAGAGCCCGCATCGCCAAGTCAATCCTAAGCCAAAAGAACAAAGCTGGAGGCATCACGATACCTGACTTCAAACTATACTACAAGGCTACAGTAACCAAAACAGCATGGTACTGGTACCAAAACAGAGATATAGACCAATGGAACAGAACAGAGCCCTCAGAAATAATACCACATATCTACAACCATCTGATCTTTGACAAACCTGAGAAAAACAAGCAATGGGGAAAGGATTCCCTATTTAATAAATGGTGCTGGGAAAATTGCTTAGCCATATGGAGAAAGCTGAAACTGGATCCCTTCCTTACACCTTATACAAAAATTAATCCAAGATGGATTAAAGACTTATATGTTAGACCTAAAACCATAAAAACCCTAGAGGAAAACCTAGGCAATACCATTCAGGACATAGGCATGGGGAAGGATTTCATGTCTAAAACACCAAAAGCAATGGCAACAAAAGCCAAAATTGACAAATGGGATCTCATTAAACTAAAGAGCTTCTGCGCAGCAAAAGAAACTACCATCAGAGTGAACAGGCAACCTACAAAATGGGAGAAAATTTTCACAACCTACTCATCTGACAAAGGGCTAATACCCAGAATCTACAAAGAACTCAAACAAATTTACAAGAAAAAAACAAACAGCCCCATCAAAAAGTGGGCAAAGGATATGAACAGACACTTCTCAAAAGACGACATTTATGCAGCCAAAAAACACATGAAAAAATGCTCATCATCACTGGCCATCAGAGAAATGCAAATCAAAACCACAATGAGATACCATCTCACACCAGTTAGAATGGCGATCATTAAAAAGTCAGGAAACAACAGGTGCTTGAGAGGATGTGGAGAAATAGGAACACTTTTACACTGCTGGTGGTACTTTAAACTAGTTCAACCATTGTGGAAGTCAGCGTGGCGATTCCTCAGGGATCTAGAACTAGAAATACCATTTGACCCAGCCATCCCTCTACTGGGTATATACCCAAAGGATTATAAATCATGCTGCTATAAAGACGCATGTACACGTATGTTTATTGCGGCACTATTCACAATAGCAAAGACTTGGAACCAACCCAAATGTCCAACAATGATAGACTGGATTAAGATAATGTGGCACATATACACCATGGAATACTATGCAGCCATAAAACAGGATGAGTTCATGTCCTTTGTAGGGACATGGATAAAGCTGGAAACCATCATTCTGAGCAAACTATTGCAAGGACAGAAAACCAAACACCACATGTTCTCACTCATAGGTGGGAATTGAACAATGAGAACACTTGGACACCAGAAGGTGAACATCACACACTGGGGCCTGTCATGGGGTGGGGGGAGGGGGGAGGGATAGCATTAGGAGATATACCTAATGTAAGTGACGAGTTAATGGGTGCAGCACACCAACATGGCACATGTATACATATGTAACAAACCTGCACATTGTGCACACATAGCCTAGAACTTAAAATATAATTATAAAAAAAAAGATAAATGCTTGAGATATTTTGCAGACCCTGTACTTCATGGATCAGCTGGCACCACCCAGATTCATAAACTGGCTCATCTGATCTTGTGACCCCCACCCAGGAATTGACTCAGCGCAAGAAGACAGCTTAAACTCCCCATGATTTCATCTCTGACCTGACCAATCAGCACTCCCGACTCATTGGCTTTCCCCAACCCACCAAGTTGTCCTTAAAAACTCTAATCCCCAAATGCGCAGGGAGACTGATTTGAGTAACAATAAAACTCTGGTCTCTGCCAGGCATCATGGCTCATGCCCGTAATCCCAGCACTTTGGGAGGCTGAGATGAGTGGATCACCTGAGGTCAGGAGTTCGAGACTAGCCTGGCCAACAAGATGAAACCCCATCTCTACTAAAAATGCAAAAATTAGCTCAGTGTGGTGATGCACATCTGTAATTCCAGCTACTCAGGAGGCTGAGGCAGGAGAATCTCTTGAACCCGGGAGGTGGAGGTTGCAGTGAGCTGAGATCGCATCACTGCACTCCAGCCTGGGCAACAGAGTGAGACTCCATCCCAAAAAAAGAAAAGAAAAAACAACAACAACAACAATAAAATAAAAACAAAACTCTGGTCTCCTGCACAGCTGGCTCTGTGTGAATTACTCTTTCTTTATTGCAATTCCCCTGTCTTGATAAATCAGCTTTGTCTAGGACCCATTGGGTGGTTATGATATCAGGTAAGTAAAACAAAACCCAGTTTACTCTGTTTCCTATATGCACCTGCAACTGTCTATAACACAGGGATGTCTACCACCCAGCCACTGTCCTCAGACGCTAGTGCAAGAGGCAGACAGGTCAACCAGCAGTTTCAACTCAGGAAGCCTGAGGATCTTGGCACACAGGAGCAGGTTAACTTCATCGGGTGTGTAATCTGTGAATTTTCACAAAGCTCTGCACTTAGCAGGGCTTGTGTTTGGTTTAATGTTCTGCTGCTATTGTGTTGACATTCTTAGTGATTTTTGAGCAAGGGCTCCTACATTTTGATTTTGTGCTGGGCCCTACAAATTAGGTAGTCAGTTCTGCACAGAAGATATGCTTCTCGTCCAAATAAATGGTAATAGAAATGGCTCAGGGAGGAATGATGCCCCTTGAAGAATAAAAAATAAGAAAATGGGAAACGGCATGACTTCTACTTTTGCATAGAGTGGTGAAAGAGACAAGAACTCTCAGTATTTCTGGGTACATGAATGCGAAGCACAAGATGGGAAATAGGGTGTATAGGAGGTGAGAATGGAATCTTTAAGTGTAGTCAGAGCATGAAAGGCTTTGGATGCCATCCTCAGGAGCGTGAATTTTATAACAAGCTACTGGAGAGACTACACACGGAGTGACAGGTGAGACCTCCATTTTAGAAAAACTTCTATGGACAGAAAATCAATTTTAGAAGGGTAAAGGTGAAACAGAGAGTGACCACTTAGTAGGCAATTATAACCATCTGGTCAAGTAGTAAGGAGAAGAATAGGAAAAGAAGGGAAGTCATGCATCAAAGAAATAGGAAATAAAATTGGTATAATGCGATTTGACAAACATTTCAACTTCCCTACCTTATATTGATTTTTCTCTTCTCTATAAATATGACCCCAATTTTAGGGATGACAGCAGGAATTAAAATAATCCCTCTTTTCATTCTTCTTTGAGGTGGGAGACTGTGGTGTTTATATTGTCTTGCCTGGTGATATACATGCAAAAGGCACTGGGCACCAGTGGAGGGCATCTTCCAGGGAAGCTACTGTTCTCCTGATTAAAAAAGGAAAAGGACAGACTCAGTTAATTGATGGCTATTGTTCAAGGCCCTTCCATTTTCTTCTCATTTTGTGATTGCAAGGAAGAGTTGCATGCTAAAGATAGAAGAGGAGGAAGCTGAGAGGAACATTGGTCCTTCGTGACTCAGGCCAACATTGTCACTTGCTTCCAACAGCTAACCCAGGCTTCCTTTTACTGAGAAAAATGAAAGCCAGTTTAGCTAATCCACAGTGGATGGGCCTTTGTTAAATTCCTTGCATGCAGTCCTAACAAACCTACTAGAGCTGTGATCTGAACCTGGCTTTGTACCTGCAAAGCCTGTGCATGAACCATGGAAGTGAGGCTTCCCAACACCAAAAGCTGGTCCAAAAACCAGTGTTACACAGGCCAATGATCTTGTCTTTTACACTCACAAGAAACACCTTTTTAAATCTCTTTTCCAAAACCTGCTTGGATCTGATTGCTGGAATTGGTTGGTCAATTAAGACACATTTGAGGGAGTAAATGCTAGTAGTAGTTTAGATTCACCTAGCAAGCTCATCTCTCCTGCTGGAAAAGATAATAAGAGACCAGTGAGGGGTAAAATGTGGTATGGATTCATGTTCTGAAAACCAATTCCCACTACAGCTCTAACTCAAAGGGCCTTAAGAAAGAAGTAGTGTCCAGATTCTTGGGCAAAAGCAACATTAGGATTCAGGGACTAAATAAAACTTAAATAAATCATTGTTTCCACCTTTCCACTAACATCTGTCCTTGTCCAGCTTTTTTCACTGTTAGCAACAAAAACAATAATAGTTTTTACCTACTGAGTATGTTCTATGTGCTTTAGAATCATAATCTGTTTAATTTTTAACCTTCAAGATAAAGATTACAACTCCTTGTGAAAAATGAAGAAACTGAGCTTCATAGAGATGAAATAACATATCCAAGTCGCAGAGTTGATAAATGGTAGAGGTACAATTCAAACTGAGACCTGTCTCAATCCAAACACCACGTTCCTAACCACTCAGCTCCAACTACTGTGTCCTGTTAACTGAACATACTTTGTGTTTTCCAACAGCCTTGCATCTGTTCACAATGAACAGGAATACCTATACTGACGGCCACCATAACTTCAACCAAATTCACTTCAGGGCTCATTTTAAGTAAGATTTTTAAGTACGATTTTCTCCACGAAAATGTTTCCAATCTCTCCTTCTTTACTTTTTACCAAATATGGAGTCTCCTTGCCCTAATACAAATTGCCTTTGGTTGGTTTGTTTTGTGGTGCTTATATCTGCTTTGATTATAACTGAAATATTACTATTCTCATCACTTATACTGAAAGATTCTCTGTGAAAGCAGTCCCTGATCCTTCCTTTGGCTAAGGGAGATGAGGGGGAGCTTGAAGAGGAAGTGAGAGTTAAATGCTAATGATATCACTGAATAGGGGTACACACTCAGAGTTACTTCATCTTATCTTCACTTCCATATGCTCCAAAGGATTAATAATCTGAGAGTTCTTGCCAACAGAATGTAGGTAAGTGTGATGTTCTCCACTCCCAGGCCTGCCCATACACATCTGTGATATAATCCTTCACCTCCTCTCTTCCTCATTTGTTAGCTGGGTGTCAAAACCCTGGGAAGTCATTGTTCATCCTGGGCCCCTGAATGAGAGTGTGCAGCAGAGCTTCCCCACCCCATCCCACCCCACCCATGTTATTATTTGGGTTCTATATGAGGAAGAGGTAAATGTTTATTATGTTAAACCAGGGAGATTTTGTCTTTACCAGCATCTAGCATTACTTGAACAAATACTCATAGTGAGATAAAGTAGTTTGTTAAATGTCACACAGCTAGTAAGCGATGGAATATAAATTCTAAATCAGGCAGTGTAGTACCAGAGTCTATGCATCTACTTCTACACAAATGCTATACTGTCCCACTAAATATCATTTACCTTGTCTCTTATTAAACTCTAGGTTCCTTGATAAGAAATATTACTTTTCATTTCTGAATTATTAGAATTTAGTACTTAAAAGAAACTCAAACAAACTGGAATTGACAGGAATTAAATTGCATTGAATAAGATGTTACTTAAACTTTTCCCAACATCATCACTCACAACCCCACCCTACTAGGATCTTACTTAAAACTAGCATTGTCAAATTATTTTTGCTTTCCCTAAATCTGTTGCAAATTCCCAGAAGTTATTTGTGCCTGGGTTGAAGTCCAGTCAATATGTTATAATTCATCTTGACAAGTCCTATGTAAGTAACTCTTTTGGCATTCTCCCATTATGTTTATGCGAATTATTCAGATTCAGCAATGATTGATTACATTCAGGTAGTGGGCTTGGCACTTTCCTGTGTCATTAGTTATTCCCACAACAACTTTGTAAAATATGTGTTATCTCCATTTCACAGATGCACAAACAATGAGTAAACCAAGCCTCAGAGATGCTCAGGGACCAACCTAAAGCTAATTATTGATAGATTTTGGACTAGCAACCCCTGGTGTGTGTGTGTGTGTGTGTGTGTGTGTGTCTGTTTGTTTTTACCATGCTGACTGTTTCTGACATAGTGCTTTAGGCAATTCACTCAGGGTATTGCACACATTAGAAACTCAAAAGGTTCTTACTAATCAAGGCACAAACGTATACTGAACAATATGATGTACTAGAAACAACTAGCTAATAGCTTCCCACAACTTTAGAAAAGCTACAAAGATAAACCAAATAACAGTTGCAATAGTGGCAAGTTTAGGACTTAATCTGTTGAAGGAGGTATGACTTCCTCTTATGCATGCCATACTGTGGGTCTTTTGAACTGGGAGAGTATTATTAAAAGAGCTGGACAAAGGCAGAACAGCAAGAAACAGGTCTCAGGGTCCCAGGCCTGGGATTAACATTATGACCTTCAAAAACAAAGGTGAAATTAAAACTTTTTCAGGCCAACAATAGCTGAAAGAATTCATGGCCAGTAGACCAGCATAAGAACTGTTAAAGGAAGTTTTTCAGGCTGAGAGAAAATAACAGAAACTCATGTCTGTACAAAGGAACACTGGAAATCATAAATATGTGGACAAATATAAAAAATACTATTCTTATTTTGCAATAATTTAAAATATTAGTGATCATATAAAGCAAAAATTATAACAATGTAAGATTTATAATTATACAAGTAAAATGTAAGACAAGAATAGCACAAATGATCAAGTGTAAGATTCTTACATAATATGTAAAGTAAAATATTAGGAATTATAAGAAAACAACTAAAATTAAAACAGATATAGCTTAAAAGCAAATATGAAGACAAAATGGAATATTCAAATATACTTAATTACTCCGAAAGAAGGCAGGAAAAGCAGGAATCAAAGGAGAAAAAATAGGAGCACAAGAAAACATATTATAGAATAATTTATTTAAACTTAAATTATATCAATAATTAACATTAAATATAAATGAGCCAATTGCTCGAATTGAAAGGATATTATGAGACTACATGAAAAGTGAGACCTCATGAAGTACTATTTTCAAGATATACACTCCAAATATAAAATCACAGAAAAGTTAAAGGATAGAAAAAACGTACAAATGCTAATTTTTAAAAGCCAAGTTAGCTATATTAATAACACAGACAAAGAAGCCTTCAGGACACGGAGTATTACCATGGACAAAAAGAGACATTTTATTATGATAAAAATATCAATTCATCAAAAAGACATAACAACCTTAATTGTGGATGTACCTAGTAATAGAGATTCAAAACACATGAAACAAAACTTAAGAGAACAAAAATAAGAAATAATAAGTTAACTCACAATTATAGTTAGAGATTTAAAAACTCATTTCTCAGTACTAGATAAGGGAAGTAGACCAAAAAAGAAACAAAAACCCAGTCCTCTTCTTTACTTGATAGTCACCAAAGATCATTCTCCATATTATTTAAATATTTTAAAATTAAAATTAAAATATTGAATTTTATTCAACAAAAATTAAAATATTGAAATATTGAAATATTTGCATTAGGGCCAGTCTGCAAATTTCTGAATTAGTTTGGAATTAAACAACATACTCTTAAGTTATCCGTAAGTCAAATAAGAAATCCTGAGGAAATCCCCAAAATTTTGGCAAATATTTTTAACTCAATGATAATGAAGTCACAAATTTGTAAATGCAGATAAAGCATGAGGGAAACTTACACCTTTTAAACTTATATTAGAAAAGAAAAAAATATCAAAAATCAATTATCAAAAGACCTACTTAAAGAAGCCTGCATTTTAAAAAAAAGTAAATCCAGTGAGTAGTAAGGTGGAAATAACAAGGATGTGAGCAAAATTTGATGATATTAAAAAAAAAGACAATAGAATAAAGCAGCAAAAGCAAATGTTAGTGTTTTAAAAATATAAATTTATCTGATTCTAACTAGAATTATTAAATTCAAGAGGGAGGATAAGAGAGAAAGAACACAAATTATCAATATCATGAATGAAAGAAAGACTATTTCTCCATTACTCTAGTCCTTACAGACAGAAAAAAAGGTAATATGGAAGTATTATAAACAATTTTTCCCTAATAAATTTGAAAACTTGGAAATCCTGTACAAATCCCTGGAAAGAAACAAATTACCAAAACCTATACAAGAAGACATTGAAAATAAAAATATTATATTAGCAAAACTGAATTCATTAACAAAAATTATTTCATTATGAAAATGCTGTTGCAATCTATCAAACATTTTAGGAAGAAATAATACCAACATTTTTATTAAAATATAAAAGAAGATAATCTTTTTCATTAAAGAGAAAAGAAAATATGGGACACTTTCTAATTTATTTTATCTGACTATCATAGATGTAATATTAAAGCTAGACACATACATTCAAGGAAAAAAAAATCACAGACCAATATTCCCCATTAATAAAGGCACAGAATTCAACAACAAAGTATTAGTAAATTTAATCTAGCAAAATAGAAAAATTGTAATACATCTTAGCAAAGAAGAAGTGTTCATCCCAGAATGCAAGGTTAGTTCAATGTTTAAGAAACAATCATTTTAAGTCTGAAAATAGAGTGAAGGAGAAAATTTTTATGATTATCTCAATAGGCACAGATTAAATTTAGCCAAATTTAATTTTAATTCATAATAAAAACTCTTAACAAACTAAGAATGGATAGAAATTTCCTAAACTTGATAAAATTCACCTATAGAAAAGGCACAGCTACCTTCACACTTAATGGAGGAAGACTGAATCATTTTTCCTGAGACTGGCAACAAGACAAGAGTGTTATTCTAATAATTCCTAGTGAGTACTTTACTGGGGATTCCTAACCAATGCAGTAAGACAAGAAAAAGAAGTAAAAGGCATACACAATGGAATGAAAAAAGCAAAACTGTCTTCATTCACAGACAGCACAATTGTTTACATGGAAAATTGTTAGGAATCTACAAAGTAACTAAAATAATTATTAAGTAAATACAGCAAATCTCAGGATGCAAAAAAAGAATCCATTTTCTTCATATATTCTACCAACAAGTATTTTTAAAGCAAAATTATTAATAATGCAATGTATGACTGCATCAGTAAACAAATCTAGGAAATGTTTGTAGCAACTTTATACATATCACAAAACTGCAAACTACCCAAATATTCTCAACAGGCAAAAAGATAAAGATGTTGTATTACAGCTATACAATATAAAACTACTCAGCAATAAAACAGAATAAATTACTAATATTATATGCAACAACATGGAGGAATTTGAAAGCTAATATAAGCCAGATACAAAATATATATGCTATATTATTTGATTCATCTATATTCCTAGTACCAGCAAAGCTAACATGATGAAAAAAAACCCAGAACATTGGTTGTCACTGGTTGTTTGGTGGTAACTGGGATAGATTTGAAATGGACACATGAGTGCTACCTAGGATGATGGGAGGGTTCTATGTTTTGACAGGGATGTGGGTTACACAGATACTTGTATTTATCAAAGTTGACTAAATTGTACATCTGGTATCTATGTATTTTATTGTATGAAAACTGTATTACAATGAAAAGAAAAGAAAAATGGAGGAAAAAACGAGGCAGGGAGAAAAGGAGAGAGATGAAGAAGAGGTAGAAGGAACAGAGGGAGAGAGAAAAAATAATGGTCCTAGGAACTGGGGAGGATGTGAGCCAGGAGCTTGGGGTTACTGTTGCCAACAGCTGAGAAAATAGGCGAGCAGAGCTCTGAAGGGTCAGTGTCTCAGTTAGAATTTTGTAATTCTTTAAATGGTTAAACTAAATCTTGATACAAAAGGAAAGCATATTTTGGGGATGCAAGATGGAAAAGATAAGCTCTGACCCCTGACTTCTGCTCTATTGGCTTTAAATAGCAGTTGGATTTATAAAAGCCTATTCTCAGAGATTCGTTTGTATAGTTTTCTTGTTCAGTTTCTTTAACTTGGAATATAAAAGTTGTTCCAAATTGCCCACTGTATATCTGCCAAACTTTTATGTGAAGAATTGGGTGGCAGGTGTTTCATTCTGTAGTCATTCTTAGAAGGGTTTGTTCCCATGTTTGAATGGAGTCAGTTGTGCACTTACCCCTTCCCCCAAGCTCTCATTGCAGCCTTGCCTGAAATCTATTCTTCTGAAGTACAGTGGAATGTTAACCCATTTATAATTGCAATGATCATTCATTTCTCTTTCTATTGCTTTGCTGTGCCAAGCACATGGGAGCTAAATTCTTGGCAAAAGTCTTTTTTTGCTTGTAGTAGTAGGAAGCAGAACTTACTCTGCCCTGAAATGTGCACAGTGGAGGGAGATGAGGAAAGCCCTGTAGTAACGGAGGAAGGAATTTCTCAATTCAACAATTGTTATATAAAAGTAAACTTTCACTGCAGCTACACTGAGGTACCTCCAGGGTGTGGCAGCAAAATCAGAAAAAAAAATTACCTTGAGAACAAGAAACTCCAGAAACTCAATATCAAATATATCAATTCAGACTCATAACTGCCCTACTGGGCAGTTATCATTAATCCTTTCTATTTCATATGATGAAACTTATGTTCAAAAATAGATGCTAAATAACTAGTCTAGGTAAAAAAATAATTTCTATAGGTGAGATTTTAATTTTTGTGTATCAAATTCCACACTGTACTGTTTCCTTATCTCAGATTGTTTTATGACTCTACCCCAAGGATCTAGCACAGTGCCTGGCACTAAATAGACCCCCAATGAATATGGGTTAAATTAAAAACCCACACAAAAGTTAACCCCTGTGGTAGATAGCTGAGGACAATGCCAAGTTTAATACATGTGTCTCTAGAGCATCTCAATTTTCTCAGGATTATAGGAAACATGGAAAGCTGAAATGTAATTAACTAACTATATTATGGAATATATTGCTTTTTAATAAGAAGAGTCATGTGTTTCCAAGAATCACTATTTAAAGAAATACTTACATTAATAAATCACTTTAAAAGTTTCTGGCATGATTAGGAGTTTCAACTACTAGACCCGAACTCACTAGCTCAGGGACTTGAGATTGGCTATTCAGTAATCACCAAAGATATGTTTTATAACTCTCATGAAGTTGTTTGACCTTTATATAGCACCAAGACAACTATCACCATGGCTGCTGATGGGTGTGGCAGGCAAATGACTGACAGTCAATCACATCCTAGTTGAGTTAGGCAAGCTCATTCATGGAGGGACCAATATTAATCTTTTGGGAGGTTTTTTTAGTTTGTTTATGTGTTGTGTTTTTGTTGTCTTTACATTGGGCCAGTGGTCTTCAGGTTTCAGTGAAGTCTCTGATATTTTATGAAAACTTTTGTGAATATAAATCTCTTATGGTTTCGGTGGAGAGGCTTTATAGCTTTATAAAATTAGTAATGAATTCATAATACCAAAATTACTAAATATCATTCTAGGCCTTACAGTTCAAGGGGTGCCCTCAGAGGCTCCATCTCTCAAGTTTCGCTGTAATGAAAAGAGTATTCATTGTGGTGGAAGCTCCATGCATGGACGGGAACACAGATGGCCTCTTCTGATACCTTCATTCATTGCGTAAGTACCCACTATCATTTTAATATCCTTTCTCTGATCACATGACTAAAGTATGGGCTAATGGAAAGCTGGTATCCTGCAGAGTCGAGAGTTATTTTCACCAGAATGCAAAAATTTGACAGCGTATCTTATTCAGTATGGCCTTGGACCTAGTGACCACCCTCCTTTTTCTCTTCATGGAGGTGTTTTACTGGGAGATGTTATTTGTCTAGAGTACACAATAATGCCTGTGATGTTTCCTGTCAATAACCCAAAATATTCTTGAGACATCTAAACATATAAAGATTAATGGTGATGATTATGACTACATGACATTTTGAAAAAGGCAAAACTATGGAGACAGTAAAGATGTCAGTGGTTGTCTGGAGTAAGTGGAGACAGACAACGAATAGACGGAGCATGGAGAAATTTTAGGGCAGTGGAATTATTCTGTATAATTCTGTAATGGTCTATATAAGCCATTATATATTTATCAAAACCCATAGACTGTACAGCACCAACAGTGAAAAGTGAATACTAACATAAACTGTGGACCTTGAGTGATAATGATGCATTGATGTAGGTTTATCAGTTGTAATAAATATACCATTCTGGTGTGTGATGTTGGTAATGGGGGAAGCTGTGCTTCTGTGAGGCAGAGTATATGGAGACTTTCTATGCATTCTGCTCAATTTTGTTGTGGAACTGAAAACTACTCTTTAAAAAGAGGTTATTGAAAAAACAATCTGGCATAATGGGAAACAAGGTACTATGTTATGGTAAACTGGGCTTGTTCTCAATAAAACTCAATGTGAAATTGTGGTAATCCTGGGTTGGAACATTTGCTATAGCCTTGAAAACAACAAAGCCCTTTTCCTCCTCTTAGCCAAAAATCAAGATGGCAGAATGGGTCTTTAAAAGGCAGGCTTTGGATTACCTTATCCATCCAAATTCATGGAAGGAAAATGTAGGTAGGAACAGGAAACAAACCCATACATATACAACTTTTTATCACACAGTGCCCACAAAAAGACCTAATCTGATTAATGAGAGTAAAAACATCTTGGGGAATGAGCAAGAAAAAAGGCACTTTGAAGATCATAGTAGATGAAGAGATTGGCACATTCCTTTCATCTAGAGCCCTGCTCATTAATATTATTCCATCCATGCACTTAACATTAGAGTTTCCAATCTACTCAGAATGATTGAATTCCTATACATATATTCTCCTTGTGAGGAGAGACCAGTGAAATGAAGCAGTTCAATTGTTTTGCCAATTTAATTTTTTCAGTTATTGGCATTCCGGTTTATTTATCTCTCTTCTGGTAGGAGCTTATTCTTATATATCCAAAACCCAGCATGGTTCTTGAACACAGCAGAAACTCAATAAGTGTTTTTACATTTATCCTGAAATATAGATATTCTAAACCTCTGCAGAGCAGTGATTCTCAAAATGTGGTCCCCAAACTAGCAGCATCAGCATTACGTGAGAATTTGCTGGAAACACAAATTACTGGATCCCACCCAAGACCTACTAAATCAGAAGTTCTGAGGGTGGGGCCCAGAAAACTCAGCTTTACCAAGTCCTCCAGATGATTCTGATGCATGGTAACATTTAAGAAATACTTCTTTAGAGTGTAGCCTAATGAACTAATGAACTGAAGTTCTTGAACCAGACAGATGATACCATAATGAGCCCACCAAGTTCCGCCTTCTGAAGGGCTTGTTGATGGCCCCTGTAGGCTCACGGGGCTGCAGCCCTGCCAGTTTGCTGACTTCTAAAAGGCCTGACAGGAGGTGTTTTCTGCGGTATATCGAACACAGATCAGAATGTGACCCTTACAAACTCAGACTAACCTTTGTCAACCCTATATTACCATAGGCATTACCTCAGGAATGAATTGAAATGATCTAGGCTCAGAGAAAATTATACGTAAACAAGAATGGCCATTTTAAAATGTACAGTGTGAAAGACAACTCTCATTGCATTTCCTCTCTATAGTCAGCCTAACCTGAAGAAGTCAAAAAAACTTCCTCAAAAGCAGACAACCAATCCCAGAAAAGTTAACTTAATTGCTTTGTGCTTAAACAGGCTAAAATAACAATAAAAAGGCTAATATTTATTAAATATTTTCTACGTGCCAATCATGGTGCTAAGTAATTTACATACATTCTATAATTTAATCCTCACAACAGCTTTATGAGTTGGATATAATAGTATCCCCATGTTGTGCACTAGAAAACTAAAGGGTAAAGAGGTTAAATCGCTTTGCTGGGATTACCCAGGTAGTAAACATCAGGGACCAAGATTTAGACCTTAGTCTGTCTTAAAACAGAGAAATACTATTAATTACAATACTGAGCTGCCTGCCATAAGACCAACACAGCCCTCCCCAACTCAGGGTAACCTTGCCAATAGGGCTATGATAGCTACAGTCCCTTTGCCAAGACTTCTTCATCAGATGGCAAAACTAAAATGGGCTCTATATAACTTTTTTTCCTCTATGTTTCTGTTGCCTGACCAATATCCTTAAACTCCAGGGTGCACTTTCTTCAACTACGTCAATATTTCAATCACACGAAAGTAAGGGTCTTCAGCAGGAGAGCCACTGCATCTCTTTCAGATAACTTTGTACATCTTTGCTCTAATTCATTGTTGAACTTACTGGTTTTCTCTTAGAGAATAATCTTTTTGCCACATTCCTGATTTCTTAAAGAAACTCCTATTCATTTTCCCCAATTGTCAGTTAGAGTTCAAATCCATTGGGCAAATTTCTATAAAGCAGAAACCATGGATGGCATGGAGCCAAATTTCTACCATTTTAATAAACTCTTCTCTGCCTCCCTCCCCATTTCCTTAAAATCCTAAAAGTAAAAAAGAGAGAGAAAGAAATAAAAGTTAAAACCAAGCACTTCCCATGTCCCAGGCAGTTTCATCTTATTATTTCACCTAAGCCCCTGCCTCCCACCAGGAATCCTGTCAAAGTAGGCATTACTATCTCCAGTTTAGAAATGGAGAAATTGTGGTTCAGAGAAGATAGAGTTCTTGAATCACTTGGATCAAAGTATTTCTGTTACCAAAGCCTGGGTTTGTTTCTCTGCTCACATGAAGGTTTGATGGCTTCTGTAGCCTCACATGAAGGGTAGATGGTTTTAAGAGATTGTCAGAAGGTCAACTGGAGAGCAAAGGGAAATAGCCTTTCCTGTACCCCATTATATTCTTGTAATCTCTTCCATTTGATAGTTTGTCTGCCTACTGAACATTTTGACAGACTTTGCATCTTCTGTGACTTTTAAAAGTACAAGTAGGTAGCAAAGTAAGACATCCAGCAACATCCTTGATTTGCAGGTCAGGAAACAAAAATTCAGAGATGTTAAATGTTTTAGCTAGGGTCAATTATCTATGAAAGGTAGAAATGATAGCCGTACCTAAATCTTCTAATTCCTGAGTCAATGCTCTGACAGCTACACCATGTTCCAGGACACATGGTTCTCTAGTTGCCAATATAACAGGAAGGACAATTCACGGAGGAGCCCAATATGGATTTTAAGAGGTAACAAGACTGTGACTGTAGCATGAAGTTACCCCCAAATATTCCGAAAAATTAGTGTTGGTGTCCCAAATCTCACACAATTACCAAAACAGAGAACCCATTCTCTGGTTGTCTTTGAAAAATACAAGTTTTTAAGGAAGAATGATCATGAAAAAAGCTAATTAGAAGGGGCCTCAAGATGGTCAACTAGAGACATTTAGCATTTACAACCTCCACAAATTAGAACCAAAATAGCAAGTGATAATCCCACTTTAAACAGAACATTTAAGAGAGAACACTGGAATTCCACAGAGCAATGACAGGAAATGACTGAGGCATATAAGGAGAGGGAAATGAGGTAGACATATTGGCCAAGATGAGCTGGGACCCTGGAGAGGCTCCCCAGTATGGGGAAAATTAAGTAACAGAAACATAGTGATTCACATTTCCACCACAGACTTCTTCAACCCTAGCCATGGAAGAGCCTTTCGACCTTCACAGGCCCTGAGACTTGCATAAGGAGCTGCCCAGAGACTGCATGATGACAGTGCCTCAGAGAGTGAGCCCATGCTGGGTCCCATGCACCCCTGAGTCCTAAGAAGCTGATGCATGGTGCCATTTTGAGATCCCAGCTCCCACCAGTCTTCATCTTGCCCTAGGTACCAAGAGCTCCTGCATCTGCACATCTTTAGAGTTTCACTGACATCCCCACATGTCCACCCAGAGGGCTGTAGTGGCATGACGCTGATTGAGCCCAGCATAGTGGCAGGGCTCCCAACACCCTAGCATATGTAGTATCTTGTGCTCTGGGTAACAGGTGGTGCAGCACACTGGGGAGGCTGCCCCAGGACAAAGGGAGCCAAAGCACATGCTCCTGAGAGCTTGAAACCCTCTTGGTATGGCTGCTGCCACTGACGGCAACCCCGCTGTCACCAGAAGCAGGGCCACAGCACCCTTGCCTGTCCCCTGAGTACTGGCTCTCTCGACTACTGTCACTGCCACAGCCACCGCTGTTGTCACTGGGGGCTGAAGTGCATGCTTCCCCAGAGACTGAGAGCCACCTCCATGCAACTGCTGCCACTGACCACATCTCTCCCCACCCAACCCCTGCCAGCACATACATGTGCCCTGAGGACAGAATCTTCCTGCCTGCTGCCACTGTCACTGTCACCATTTGAGGCCAAAGCATGTGCTATGGCAGTTGCCTCACAACCCCATCAGCAGGACTACCCCACACATACATGCACCCTGAGTACTGACTGTTTCTGCTGCTGCCACTGCCATAGCAGCAGAAGTGCATCCTCCCCAGAATCTGACAGCTGCCTGCCTTTGGCTGCTGCCACTGACAGTAACCCACTCCCTAAGGACCAAGGCTGCAGTGCACTTATACACACCCTAAGGACATGCCTTCCCTGCCCACCACCACTGTTGGAAGGCCTGTGAATCCCCTCCCCTGCCTACTAAATCTGGCATCTATGCACACCACTGGGGTCCCTGAGGATAGGCCCAGTGGGCCTGGTACCATGCTTCCCAGTGCATAAGCATGCCACCTGGGGACCTGGAGATCACCCTGCCCTATCCTCCACCAGCGGCATCTATACACTACTCCCAGGAGCCTGAGTATGGGCCCATCTAGCCTGCCAGACCCACCACAGTCAGCAACCACAAACATGTACCACCTGGGGGCCTGGAGACTGGCCCATCCAACACATCGCAGCCACCACTAACACCAAAGAGTGCTGCTTAGGAGCCTGAAGATTGTCCTGCCACCACTACTGTAGTCACCCACGTCACATACACTGTCCAGGGGCATGGAATCCACCCATTACTGCCACTGTTGGCACTTAAGCAAGTCAACTGAAGGTCCAAGAATTATCCCACTTGGACCTTTTAATACCAATACACATGTACCCTGCCCAGAAGCCTGAGGACAGGCACACTTGGCCCACAGCTTCCACAACTGAGGCCTGAGGACTGGCCCATCTGCATCCCTGTCCTCAGCAAAACCTCAACACAACCTCCATTAACAACTGCAGCTTAAGCCACTGAAGAAATCATGAACACAACTGACACTGCTTCGAGCTAAAGAAATCATATGGAGACTACACTACTGCATACACCAGAATCAAAGCTAAAGTGACCTACCCAACCAACAGCATATATATATCTTCAGGAGAAAGTATTCTACTACAGTAGCCAATCCAAAAATGTAGAAGTGACTACTATATCAGTTCAACATAAGAACACAGGAACATGAAAAAATAAGTATGATATCTCCAAAGGAACACAGTAATTTTTTGCAACAACAGATTCCAATAAAAATGAAATGTATGAAATGCCAGAAAATGGGCTGGGCATAGTGGCTCATGCCTATAATCCCAGCATTTTGGGAGGTCGAGGCAGGCAGAGTACTTGAGGTCAGGAGTTTGAGACCAGGCTGGCCAACATGGTGAAACCCCGTCTCTACTAAAAATACACAAATTTGCTGGATATGGAGGTGCATGACTGTAATCCCAGCTACTTGGGAGGCTAAAGCATGAGAATGACTTGAACCTAGGGAGGTGGAGGTTGCAGTGAGCTGAGATCATGCCACCGCACTCCAGCCTGGGCAACAGAGGGAGATTCCGTCTAAAAAAAAAAAAAAAAAAAAAAAAACACAGAGAAAGAAAAGAAAAAAAGAAAGAAAGAAATGCCAAGAAAATGGATTTGAAATAATGATACTAAAGAAAATCACTGAGATACAAGAGAATGCTGACAAGGAATACAAAGAAATCAGAAAAACAAGTCAGGAAATGAATAAGAAATTCACCAACAAGATAAATGTCATAAAAAAGAACCAAACAGAAATCATGGAACAGAAGAATTCAATGAATAAAATAAAAAATACAACTAAGAGACTAAGAGCTTCAACAGTAGACTAGATCAAATAGAAAAAAGAATTTCAAAATTTGAAGACTGGTCTCTTGAAATAACTCAATCAGATTTTTTTTGAAAAAGAAAAAAAATGACAAAAGTTATGTGACATATGACACCCCAAAAAGCCAGTAAGTATTGAATTTTTGGTATTCTAAAGGTTAAGAGAAGGCCAAAGGCATAGAAAATCTGTTTAACAAATTAATAGCTGAAAACATCCCAGACAAGATATTTATACATATAGATAGAGGAAACTCAGAGATTACCAAATAGAAACAACCTAAAAAAGTATTTTCCACAGTGCACTGTAGTCACACTGTCAAAGTCAAAGAGAGAATTCTACAAACAGCAGGAGAAAAACTTCTAGTTATGTATAAGGGAACCTCCCTCAGACTAACAGCAGATTTCTCAGCAGAAACATTACAGGCCAGGAGTAAATGGGATGATATATTTAAAGTATTGAAACAAAAAAAGAAAAAAACTATCATCCATGAATACTATACTTAGCAAACTTATCATTCATAAATGAAGGAGAAATAAAGTATTTCCCAAATAAGCAAAAACTGAGGGAATTCATCACCACTACACCTGCCATTCTAGAAATGTGTAAGGGAATCCTACACCTGGAAATAAAAAGGTTATATCTACCATCATGAAAACACACAAAAGTATAAAATTCGCTGGTTGACCAAACACACAAACAAGGAAGAGAAAGGACTCAAATGTTACCATAACAGAAAACCTACAAACCACAATGATAAAAATTAAGAAAGAAAAGAACAAAGAAGAGTAAGACAACAAGAAAACAATTGACAAAATGACAGGAATAAGTCTTCACATATTAGTAATAGCCTTGAATGTAAATGATTTAAATTTTTCGGTTAAAAAATACAGACTGGCTGAATGGATTTTAAAATGACCCTATTATATGCTGCCTAAAGAAACTCACTTCACCTGTAAAGACACATATATGCTGAAAGTAAAGAAATGGGAATAATATTCCATACAATTGGAAACCAAAAGCTAGCAGGAGTAGCTATACTTATATCACATAAAATAGCCTTTAAGTCAAAAATATTTAAAAAACACAAAGAACTCATTATATAATGAGAAAGGGGTTAATTCAACAAGAAGATATAACAATTCTGAATATATATGTATGCAACAGTGGAGCAAATATAAAGCAAAGTTATTAGGTCTAAAGGGAGAAATAGACTTCAATACAATAATAGTTAAGAATTTCTATACCCCACTCTCAGCATTAGAGGGTTTATCTTGACAGAAAATTAACAAACACTGGATTTAAACTGCACTTTAGACCAAAGGGACCTTACAGTCATCCACAGAACATTTTATCCAACAGTTGCAAAATACACATTGTTTTAATTATCACATGAAACATTCTCCAGGATAGACCGTATGTTAGGGCACAACCAATTTTAAAAAGTCAAAATTATATCAAATATTTTCTCAGACCACAATAGAATGAAACTAAAAATTAACAGAAAAGGGATCTTTGGAAACTGTATAAACACATGGAAATTAAGCAACATGACCCTGACTGACCACTGGGTCAAGGAAAAAATTAAGAGATATCAAAAATGTCTTGAAAAAAATGAAAATGGAAACACAACATATCAAAACTTATGGGATAGAGCAAGAGCAGTGCTAAGAGGTAAGTTTATAGCAGTTACTGTCTACATCAAATAGTAGAATGATTTCAAATAAGCAGTCCAACAATGTACCTCAGGGGCTAGAAAAGTAAGAACAAACCAAACCCCAAATTAGTAGATGGAAATAAAGTATATAAAGATCAGAGCAGAGCTAAATAAAACAGAGACAATAAATATATATAAAGGATCAAAAAAAGAAAACGTGTTTTCTTGAAAAGATAAACTGCTAGATAGATTAATAAAAAGGACTCAAATAAACAAAATCAGAAATGAAAAAGGAGACATTATAACTGATACCAAATAAATACAATAGATCATCAGAAATTATTATGAACAACTATACGCTAACAAACTGGAAAACCTGGATAAATTCCTAGGCACACACAACCAGTAAGATTGATTCAAATGACATAGAGAACTTGAACAAACCAATAATGAGCAAAAAGATTGAATCAATAATAAAAAGTTTCCTGACAAATAAAAGTCCAATACCAAATGGCTTCATTGCCAAATTCTACCAAACTTATAAAAAAAGAACACCAATTGCCCTGAAACTATTCCAAAACATTGAAGAGGAAGGAATTCTCTTAAATCCACTCTACGAGGCCTGTATTACCATTATACTAAAAGTACACAAAGACACAACAACAAAAAAGAAAAGTACAGCCCAATATCCCGGATGAACACAAATGGAAAAATTCTCAACAAAATAGTACCAAATTTAATTTAACAGCACATCAAAAAGATAATAAAACACGATCAAGAGAGATTTGTTCCAGGAATGCATGGATAGTTTAATGTATGTAAATCAATAAATGTGACACGTCACATCAATAGAATGAAGGTGGCTCACACCTGTAATCCCAGTACTTTGGGAGGCGTAGGCAGGCAGATCACAACATCAGGAGATAGAGACCATCCTGGCTAACATAGTGAAACCCCGTTTCCACTAAAAAAAAATACAAAAAATTAGCCAGGCATGGTGGCGGGCATCTGTAGTCCCAGCTACTTGAGAGGCTGAGGCAGGAGAATGGCGTGAACCTGGGAGGTGGAGCTTGCAGTGAGCCGAGATTGTGCCACTGCACTCCAGTCTAGGCAACAGAGCAAGACTCCTTCTCAAAACAAAAACAAAAAAACAAAAAAAAACCCTGAACAGCCAAGCAATCCTGAGCAAAATGAACAAAGCTGGGGACAGCATACTACCTGACTTCAAAACACATTACAAGTCTATAGTAATCAAAGAAGCATGGAAGCATGCTATTGGTATAAAAACAAACAGGTAGACCAATGGAACAGACATTGTCTAGTCAACCCAGAAATAAATCTATGTATTTACAACCAAAGATTTTTGACAAAGGAATTAAAAAACATACACTGGGGAAAAAAACACCCTCTTCAACAAATGGTAGTAGAAAATGTGGACGTCCATATTCAGAAAAATAAAACTCAACCTCTATGTCTCAACATATACAAGAATAAACTAAAAATGGATCAAAAATTTAAATGTAAGACCTGAAACTATAAAACTATTAGAAGAAAATATAGGGAAAACACTCCAAGACATTGGTCCAGAGAACGATTTTATGACTACAACCTCAAAAGCACAGGCAAGGGGGCCAGGCGTGGTGGCCCATGCCTGTTATCCCAACACTTTGGGAAGCTGAGGTGGGTGGATCACCTGAGGTTAGGAGATCGAGATCAGCCTGGCCAACATGGTGAAACCCCATCTCTACTAAAAATACAAAAAAAAAAAAAAAAAAAATAGCCAGGCATTGTGGCACATGCCTTGTAGTCCCAGCTACTCAGGAGGTGGAGATGGGAGAATTGCCTAAGCCCAGGAGGCAGAGGTTGCAGTGAGCCAAGATGGCACCAATGCACTCCAGCCTAGATGCCACAGCCAGAAACTTGTCTCAAAAAAAAAAAAAAAAAAAAAAAGAGGCAGGAAAATCAAAAAGTAGACAAATGAGAAATGAGACTATATTAAACCAAAAGCTTCTGCACAGCAAAGGAAACAATTGACAGAATGAAGAGAAAACTTATTGAATATGAGGAAATATTTCATCTGACAAGGGACTAATATCTAGAATATACAGGGAACTCAAACAACTCAACAGCAAATATTAATAATTCCATTTAAAAGTGATCAAGGACATTAATAGATATTTCTCAAAAGAAGACATACCAAGGGCCAATAGGCATATGTAAAAATGCTTAACATCACTAATAATCAGTGAATCCAAATCAAAGTCACATAAAGATATCTTACCCCAGTTAGAATGGCTCTTAATAAAAAGACAAAAAGTAACAGAAGCTAGCAAGGATGCAGAGAAAAGGTACTGTTGGTGGGAAGTAAATTAGTACAACCCGTATGGAAAACAGTATGGAGATTTCACCAAAAACTAAAAATAGAACTACCATACAATCATGCAATGCCACTACTTCGGTATATATCCAAAGGAAAAAAATATCAGTATAACAAAGGGATATCTGTACCCCCCATGTTAATTGCAGCAATATTCACAACAGTAAAGATATGGAATCAACCAAAGTGTCCATCAATAGATGAATGATAAAGAACATGTGGTTACATACACGACAGAATACTATTCAGCCATAAAAAGAATGAAATTATGTAAGTTGCAGCAACATGGATGGAACTGGAGTGAAATAGGCCAGGCACAGAAAGACAAATATTGCATATTCTCACTCACATGTGGGAGCTAAAAAATGTTGGTCTAATGGAGGTAGAAGGAGAATGAAGATTACCAGAGGCTAAGAAAGGTATGTGTGGACAAACATGAAAACATCCAGTTGGATAGAAGGAATAAGTTCTACTGTTTGATAGCAGAGTAGAATGACTACACCTAACATCAATGAATCACATATTTCAAAATAACTAGAAGACAGGACTTGAAATGCTCTGAACAAATAGAAATAATAAATACTCAAGGTAATGGATACCCTAAATACCCTGACTTGATTATTACATATTATATGCATGTAACAAATTACCACATGTACCCCATAAATCCTTATAAATATTATATTAATATGTCAATAAAAAATTCTTAAAAAGAATCATCATGAGGAAAAAAGCTTTCTATTTCCCTCATTTCCAGGACTTTTTCACAGGCAGGATGAGCAGAAAAGGAACCTGGTACCAACTGCTTCTAACAAAGCTATGCATATAGACCTAATTCTACTTGCTTTTTCTCTTTAAAAAAAAGTCCATGCTCAGAATCACAATCATAGATGTCTCTTGGTTAGGAGGTTACTTGAGTCTTTAGGTAGCAGGGAGCATGCCATTTTTCTTTATACTCTTGGCATTCATTCAGGCTCCCAGGGGCAAGTTAGTGACCAGCAAATCCAGTAAAAACAGAAATCGTTACCTCATAAAACACCAAGAGACTTTCCAAGCCTCAGGGAGAGTAACACCCCTGCCCTTTCTAATTCACAGACCACATTCCAAGTGCAAAATGGAATCATTTTTGTTTTCAAAGTGATGCTAATTTATTAGCCATGGTGGAAATGTTGACTATGGTAATTGACTTCAAACAGAATATCTTCAGTCCAGAGAGCTTGAGGCGAAAAGGGAAGTCAGTAGGGAGGTGAACAGAATCCAGTAGGGTTCTCCAGACCAAACTGACTGCACTCAGCAATTCATCCACTCACTTTCCTCCTCATTAATTCTTTTATTATTGACCTACTAGATTCCAGGGACTTCCTAGGTGCTGGGGGTATACAGCTGTTAATATATGAACTGTTTTCTCATAGAAATCATGGTTGAGTCAGGAACACAGATGAGTAAACACAGCATCACAGACAAGTTTGTTTCCTTCCCAATGGAAGCACGTACTAAGAATGTGGGAAATGTCAGAAAAGCACTGCAAAAGGGACAATGTCAAGGAAGGCATGAGAGAGTATGAGAAATTTGAAGGACGATGAATCCTGAAGTATGACTTACACGAATTTGTTTAAATAAAACCTCAGATCATACAAGGAATAATTAAATATATGTTAGAGAAAATCTCAAGGTGGGATGAGACAATTTCACAAGGGCCTCAAATTTTATTTTGGGTGTTTTTCCTTCTTAGGATCTCTTCTAAACTGTCTCCTTGGAGGCTTAAGTAAGTAAAAGTCTTTATAACTCAGGGTTCTTAATTACTTGTGAAAGAAACAGAGTCTGGCTATCTTAAGCAGAAAAATAATTTACTGGAAAGTTATTAGGAGCCCATCCAATTGACAGAGCTTGGAAGAGCAGACCTGGAAAACAAAGAGGAGCCAGAGGAGCCACAGAGGGGCAGGTAGTAG